>NT_187659.1:0-196384 GCF_000001405.40 Homo sapiens
GCAATGAGTCGAGACTGCACCACTGCACTCCAAGCCTGGGTGACAAAGTGACACTCAGTCTTAAAAAAAAAAAAGAAAAAAAGTGTGAAGTTATTGCTACACCACACAGCAATCCCCAACCGTTTTGGCACCAGGGACTGGTTTTGTGGAAGACAATTTTTCCATGGACTGTTGGGTGGGGGTTGGTTTCAAGGATGAAACTGTTCCACCTCAGATCATTAGGCATTAGATTGTCATAAGGAGCATGCAACCTAGATCCCTCAAATGTGCAGTTCACAATGGGGTTTGCTCTCCTATGAGAATCTAATGCCACCGCTGATCTGACAGGAGGTGGAGCTCAGGCAGTCATCCTCACTCACCCCACTGCACCTCCTGCCATGGAGCCCTGTTCCTAGCAGGCACATATTGGTACTCGTCCACCATGTGGGGGTTGGGGACCTCTGCCATAACAAACACATCCAAGATGCCACACAGCAAGAGAAAAGGATAACCAATCCCACCTTGTGTAAGTGGGTGGGGGCTGTGGACACAGAGGGGATAGTGAAGCAGACAAGACTGCACAGCCTTACTGATTCCCTCAACAAACATGCACTGTCCACTGTGCTCTAGGTGTCCGGGAACAAATCAGACACAGAGCCCTATGCCTGTAAAATGTGCCTTTTAAAGGGGGAGACAAGAAAGGAACTATAAAGAATTGAAATACATAGCATGTGTGGAGACAGTGCCTGAGTTTAATATTAAAACGTGAGCTTCCTCAGGCAGGAGAAAGGGAAAGAACTATGTAGGCACAAGATGTGTCACAGCAGAGCTAGGGAATGTGGTCCCACCGTGTTCAGGGAACCCACAGCTGTTTCCATACGCTTGCCATCCTTGGTTTGACCTCTAGGGGGCTACAGACTCAGCAGCTAAGGTCAGCCATGTGGGCTCTGCTTGCTTATGTGACCCACCCCCAATAAAAATGCTGGTCACCAAGGCTCAGCCGAGTGGCCCTGGGGGGAGTGGAGGGTAATACTTTGCACATGTTGTCATATACTGTTACTGAGAGAATTAACTGCATCCCCAGGTGACTCCACTAGGAAGGAACATTTGGACATGCGTGCCTAGCTTCTCCTAGACTTTGCTCTAAGCACCTTTTCCCTTTGGTGATTTTAATCTGTATCCTTTCACTGTAATAAACTATTAACAGTGAGGATAACAGCTTTTTTTTTTTAAGTTCTGTGAATCCTTTGAGCAAATCATTATGCCAAAAGGTGGTCTTGGGGAATCCCCCAAACAATATGAAAGTATACCAGGCATCTAGTAAGCATCTACAGACAGTCACTGCCAAGTGCTGAGAAACCATTTGAAAGTTTTGAGATACCCAAACAATGCTACTATTTGTATCAATCTCTGATCTCTCTTTCCTTAGTAGGACTGAGGTGAAAAAATGATTAAAAACAAGCTCTTTCTTTCATCACAAACTGAGGCATATCTGGTTTGATGGCAATATTTAAGTAAATTTCCAAGAGATCCCGTTAGCCAGTAGATAATACTAAAATAGAATGTTTAAACAGTAACTGAAACAAATTGACGATAATCAGATAGGAAACAGTAAAATACACAGTGGAGATCTCATAATTGAAGGCATACCTTTATTTCCTTTATACTGGGAAGTGGTGCATTTAGAAATTCCTCCGTTAATCTCTTCCAACTAGCAGCTTTGCTTAGATCAGAATGAATGACAAATTTTTCATAAATTCTAAAATATAAGAAAAGATTATAAAGCTATCTTAAAAAGATCTATAAGAAAATACATATATTTCTGGATGCGTATATATACACACTGACTTACCCTTCGATTGTTTTTTCTATTTTGTGGCTGTTGACATCCAAGAAACGATGAAATCTATTAAAGACAAAATGCAATTCTTATGCCAACTCTGTCACACAGGTAAGTGAACTCATCTCATGGCCCTCCATATCCCCCATATGCTCTGTACTCAGCTACACATTTCCAGAATGGAGTGTACCTTGTCCTCCGTTACCTCCACCATCAGGCAGGCAAATAATCACCGTGTCCGAGACTGTGCAAGCATCCTTTCTCCAGCACACAGGTTCTTCCTGACCCTCCCAACCTTGTCCTCTGGCTCCTCTGTCTTCCCATAAGCCCCTGTACCTAAGTCCAGCTGAACACATTCTACATCAGGTGGTCCCAACCTTTTTATGCCATAGTGAGGCCCGGTGAAGCCTAAGGACCCCTTCTCTGAATAACATTTTTAAAGCCAAAAAATAAATACAAAGGAATCCCATTATACTGAGATACAGTTGTCAAATATTTAAAGAAGTTTAAGATATGGCAAGAAATGTTATTTATGAAAGTATTAAATAACAAGATTTAGCAGTAGGTCCAATTAACTACCATTAAAGTAACAGTAAACAACATTTACAAATATCTACAACTCTGATGTGAAAACAGTATGCGATTTCTACTGGTGATAAAGTCATAGGTAGGCTAATACTGCTATGGTTTGCTGCCTTCATTCATAATAGAAGGAGATGCTACTTTTCAGTTAGAGAAAAGTGAGCTTGCTCAGTGCAAGCTCCGCCTCCTGGGTTCGCGCCATTCTCCTGCCTCAGCCTCCCAAGTAGCTGGGACTACAGGCGCCTGCCACCACGCCCGGCTAATTTTTTGTACTTTTAGTAGAGACCGGGTTTCACCGTGTTAGCCAGGATAGTCTCGATCTCCTGACCTCGTGATCCACCCACCTCGGCCTCCTAAAGTGCTGGGATTACAGGCGTGAGCCACCGCGCCCAGTCCACAATTTTCAAGAATGTAAACATGAACTATTCATTTTTCTGATGGTTTAAAGCATCATAAAATTACAGCACAGCCTATGCAACTAATGTATATGTACATAGCATAGCCTATGCAAAAAATGTTTTCCATTTTTTAGTATCAAAGCGAGCAATCTGTACTTAAATAAAATTACACTACTGAAAAACACATGATTCTAGGCCAGTAAATGGGTGAATGGAACACCACTTTACCTATTATAATTTAGTTCCTGAAATCTGTGAATGAAAATAGTAACCTCCAACGTCTCTCCCAGCTCTAAAATGATGACAATCTGCCTACTGTCATTTAGAAATATTAGTAGAAAAATAACTTGGATTTCAGCATTTAAGTTTCTGTATTGTATAACCTATTTCACACATTGTTTATTTTTATAAGTTACACTTAAGAATTCAGTTTATTACTTCAGAAACTTGGCATGGTTTAAAAGAATCTGAAAGCCCCGTATTCCTATTATAAGCCAACTAGACACTTTATGGCTATGATCATTAAGGTAACTAAGATTACGGATTTTGAAAAACTGTTCATTATTCAAGAAGATTTTTACTGAAATTAAACAGGTAGAATATTAACATTAACATTTTTTTAGTAATAATTTCATTATGGGTAATGACTCTAAAAGTATTAATTTACATCTCCCATAAAGAAAAATAGGAGATCTCACTTTACGTAAATATCTAAATTCTGTAAGTCTTTAAAAATTAGTTACAAGAGAAACTGCATTAGAAATTGTATTAGGTGACTCAGCGTGCTACGTGCCAGGAGCTGTGCAGAGATGCAGCATTCTAGCTGGAGTGGAAGTGGAGGAGACAGTAATGACAGGTTAAATCAGTGTCATGACACGCGTTTTGGAAAAAGGAGAGCAGGGTGAGAGATCTTACACTGGGCTGACCAGGGAGCAGGAGTCAGTGAGAATACAATCTCTTTAATTTAAAAAAAAAAAAAATTATAAACATGGAGTTGCTACGTTGCCCAAGCTGGCCTGGAGTCCCGCCTGGGCCTCCCAGAGCGCTGGGGTTGCAGGCGCGCGCGCCGGCCGGCAAGAAACCCAGTTCACGCTTTCCCCGTGACGATCAGGACGCGTCCCGGGTAACACGCCCTGTGGTGCGCAGGGCACCGCGCCGAGAGCGCTGGCCGGCGGGGAGCAGGCGGTGGCAGGGCCTGCGAAGGCTCCCTGAGGCCGCGCCCGCCTCCGCCCCATGCCCTGCCCCAGCGCGCCCCGACCCCGGGCTGTGCGGGACCCACGCGCGGGCTCCGGGCTGTGGCCGGGAACCCGCCCGCGCGCCGTGCCCCACACCTGAAGTTGGACCAGGCGAAGTTTAGGGCGAGCTGGAAGTTGGGGTCTGCCTCGTCCTGGAGGCCGGCGACACCCCGGACGAGCTCCCGCACGTCGCGCTCCTGCTGCGCGTCCAACCGACTCCACGGTGGCCCGTGCCGCGCCATGTTCCGCGCTCCTGCAGCGCGCGTCTAACGAATTGGTGCCTGTCGCGCGAGAGCTCGGGCTCCTGCCGCAGTCGCCTCCGGAGCTGGCGGCATTCTCGCGAGAGTTCGCGCTCCCGCGCCGGGCGACTTCCAAGCCGACCGCTATTCTCGCGACAGTTCGAGCTCCGGCTGTGGAGGGTACTGCCTGGCGCTGTCCCGTGGTGGGGACTGGAGTGCGCATTTTCTGGTTGCCCGACGGTACGTTTTCTACTGTACTCAGAGTTAGCTGGTGTCATCGTGAATCAGATACATAAGGGTCTCTGGCCGGCCTCGGTGACAGTCAGTGATTTTGAGAGCAGCCCGTTAGGTGCCCGGTCAGCAAATGCATTGGGACCCGCCTTTCCAGGAACCCTGAACTGCTTACCTGCTGAACCCTCCCGGCCCTGCAGCTTCTCCCTCCAGTGATGGTCTCTGCGGATTTCCGTGCCCCATCCACACAACACAGTCACGCTACACACATCCATGCTACACAACCAGCATCAGCGAAGCAGCTGTCCCGACCCGCTAGTAGTGCCTGCTGGCCCTTGCCTCGCCTGTTCCTCAGGGGCGGCTTGGGGGACTTCATGACCCCACCTGGCCAGAGGTGCTGAGGGGGGGAACTTCATAAATGTCACCTGGCCAGAGGTGGTGGGGGAGATTTCATAACCCCACCTAGCCAGAGGTGCTGGGGGGACTTCATAACCACACCTAGCCAGAGGTGCCGGGAGGACTTCATAACCACACCTGGACAGAGGTGCTGGGGGGACATCATAACCTCACCTGCTCAGAGGTGCTAGGGGGTATCATAATCCCACCTGGCCAGAGGTGCTGTGGGGCCATCATAACCCAACCTGGCCAGAGGTGCTGGGGGGACATCTTAACCTCACCTGGCCAGAGGTGCTAGGGGGATATCATAATCCCACCTGGCCAGAGATTCTGGGGGGACATCATAACCCCAGCTGGCCGGAGGTGCCGGGGGGCGGGGGGAACTTCATAACCCCACCTGGCCAGAGGTGCTGGGGGGACATCATAACCTCACCTGGCCAGAGGTGCTAGGGGGTATCATAATCCCACCTGGCCAGAGATGCTGGGGGGCCATCATAACCCCACCTGGCCAGAGGTGCTGTGGGGCCATCATAACCCAACCTGGCCAGAGGTGCTGGGGGGACATCTTAACCTCACCTGGCCAGAGGTGCTAGGGGGATATCATAATCCCACCTGGCCAGAGATTCTGGGGGGACATCATAACCCCAGCTGGCCGGAGGTGCCGGGGGGCGGGGGGAACTTCATAACCCCACCTGGCCAGAGGTGCTGGGGGGACATCATAACCTCACCTGGCCAGAGGTGCTAGGGGGTATCATAATCCCACCTGGCCAGAGATTCTGGGGGGCCATCATAACCCCACCTGGCCGGAGGTGCTGGGGGGCGGGGGGAACTTCGTAACCCCACCTGGCCAGAGGTGCTGGGGGTGACTTCATAAATGTCACCTGGCCAGAGGTGCTGGGGGGGATTTCATAACCCCACCTGACCAGGGGTGCTGGGGGGACATCATAACCTCACCTGGCCAGAGGTGCTGGGGGGTATCATAATCTGACCTGGCCAGAGATGCTGGGGGGACATCATAACCCCACCTGGCCAGAGGTGTTGTGGGGCCATCATAACCCCAGCTGGCCGGAGGTGCTGGGGGGCGGGGGGAACTTCTTAACCCCACCTGGCCAGAGGTGCTGGGGGTGACTTCATAAATGTCACCTGGCCAGAGGTGCTGGGGGGGATTTCATAACCCCACCTGGCCAGAGGTGCTGGGGGGACATCATAACCTCACCTGGCCAGAGGTGCTGGGGGGTATCATAATCCCACCTGGCCAGAGATGCTGGGGGGACATCATAACCCCACTTGGCCAGAGGTGCTGTGGGGCCATCATAACCCCAGCTGGCCGGAGGTGCTGGGGAGCGGGGGGAACTTCATAACCCCACCCGGCCAGAGGTGCTGGGGGTGACTTCATAAATGTCACCTGGCCAGAGGTGCTGGGGGGATTTCATAACCCAACCTGGCCAGAGGTGCTGGGGGGACATCTTAACCTCACCTGGCCAGAGGTGCTAGGGGGATATCATAATCCCACCTGGCCAGAGATGCTGGGGGGACATCATAACCCCACCTGGCCGGAGGTGCTGGGGGGCGGGGGGAACTTCATAACCCCACCTGGCCAGAGGTGCTGGTGGTGACTTCATAAATGTCACCTGGCCAGAGGTGCTGGGGGGGATTTCATAACCACAGCTGGCCATAGGTGCTGGGGGAGATTTCATAACCCCACCTGGCCAGAGGTGCTGGGGGGACTTCATAACCACACCTGGCCAGAGGTGCCAGGAGGACTTCATAACCACACCTGGCCAGAGGTGCTGGGGGGACATCATAACCTCACCTGGCCAGAGGTGCTGTGGGGGGGTATTATAACCCCACCTGGCCAGAGGTGCTGGGGGGTATCATAATCCTACCTCGACAGAGGTGCTGTGGGGCCATCATAACCCCAGCTGGCAGGAGGTCCTGGTGGGCCATCATAACCCCACCTGGCCAGAGGTGCTGGGCGGCGGGGGGAACTTCTTAACCCCACCTGGCCAGAGGTGCTGGGGGTGACTTCAAAATGTCACCTGGCGAGAGGTGCTGGGGGGGATTTCATAACCCCACCTGGCCAGAGGTGCCGGGGGGACTTCATAACCCCACCTGGCCAGAGGTGCCGGGAGGACTTCATAACCACACCTGGCCAGAGGTGCCGGGGGGGCATCATAACCACACCTGGCCAGAGGTGCCGGTGGGACTTCATAACCCCACCTGGCCAGAGGTGCCGGGGGGACTTCATAACCACACCTGGCCAGAGGTACCGGGGGGACATCATAACCACACCTGGCCAGAGGTGCCGGGGGGACATCATAACCTCACCTGGCCAGAGGTGCTGGGGGTGGGTATTATATCCCCACCTGGCCAGAGGTGCTGGGGGGGACGTCATAACCACACTTGGCCAGAGGTGCCGGTGGGACTTCATAACCCCACCTGGCCAGAGGTGCTGGGGGACATCATAACCCCACCTGGCCAGAGGTGCCAGGGGGGACATCATAACCCCACCTGGCCAGAGGTGCTGGGGGACATCATAATCCCACCTGGCCAGAGGTGCTCTGGGGCCATCATAACCCCACTTGGCCGGAGGTGCTGGGGGGCGGGGGGAACTTCATAACCCCACCTGGCCAGAGGTGCTGGGGGTGACTTCATAACTGTCACCTGGCCAGAGGTGCTGGGGGGGATTTCATAACCCCACCTGGCCAGAGGTGCTGCGGGGGACTTCATAACCACACCTGGCCAGAGGTGCCGGGAGGACTTCATAACCCCACCTGGCCAGAGGTGCTGGGGGACATCATAACCTCACCTGGCCAGAGGTGCTGGGGGGTATCATAATCCCACCTGGCCAGAGATGCTGGGGGGACATCATAACCCCACCTGGCCAGAGGTGCTGTGGGGCCATCATAACCCCAGCTGGCCGGAGGTGCTGGGGGCAGGGGGAATTTCATAACCCTACCCGGACAGAGGTGCTAGGGGTGACTTCATAAATGTCACCTGGCCAGAGGTGCTGGAGGGGATTTCATAACCCCACCTGGCCAGAGGTGCTGGGGGGGACTTCATAACCCCACCTGGCCAGAGGTCCTGGGGGACTTCATAACCCCACCTGGCCAGAGGTGCTGGGGGGACATCATAACTTCACCTGGCCAGAGGTGCTGGGGGGTATCATAATCCCACCTGGCCAGAGATGCTGGGGGGACATCATAACCCCACCTGCCAGAGGTGCTGGGGGGCGGGGGGAACTTCATAACCCCACCTGGCCAGAGGTGCTGGGGGTGACTTCATAAATGTCACCTGGCCAGAGGTGCCAGGAGGACTTCATAACCACACCTGGCCAGAGGTGCTGGGGGGACATCATAACCTCACCTGGCCAGAGGTGCTGTGGGGGGGTATTATAACCCCACCTGGCCAGAGGTGCTGGGGGGGTCATAATCCCACTTGGCCAGAGGTGCTGTGGGGCCATCATAACCCCAGCTGGCCGGAGGTGCCGGGGGGCGGGGGGAACTTCATAACCCCACCTGGCCAGAGTTGCTGGGGGTGACTTCATAAATGTCACCTGGCCAGAGGTGCTGCGGGGGATTTCATAACCCCACCTGGCCAGAGGTGCTGGGGGGACATCATAACCTCACCTGGCCAGAGGTGCTAGGGGATATCATAATCACACCTGGCCAGAGATGCTGGGGGGCCATCATAACCCCACCTGGCCAGCGGTGCTGTGGGGCCATCATAACCCCACCTGGCCAGAGGTGCTGGGGGTGACTTCATAAATGTCACCTGGCCAGAGGTGCTGGGGGGGATTTCATAACCCCACCTGGCCAGGGGTGCTGGGGGGACATCATAACCTCACCTGGCCAGAGGTGCTGGGGGGTCATCATAATCTGACCTGGTCAGAGATGCTGGGGGGACATCATAACCCCACCTGGCCAGAGGTGCTGTGGGGCCATCATAACCCCAGCTAGCCGGAAGTGCTGGGGGCTGGGGGAACTTCTTAACCCCACCTGGCTAGAGGTGCTAGGGGATATCATAATCCCACCTGGCCAGAGATGCTTGGGGGCCATCATAACCCCACCTGGCCAGCGGTGCTGTGGGGCCATCATAACCCCACCTGGCCAGAGGTGCTGGGGGTGACTTCATAAATGTCACCTGGCCAGAGGTGCTGGGGGGGATTTCATAACCCCACCTGGCCAGGGGTGCTGGGGGGACATCATAACCTCACCTGGCCAGAGGTGCTGGGGGGTATCATAATCTGACCTGGCCAGAGATGCTGGGGGGACATCATAACCCCACCTGGCCAGAGGTGCTGTGGGGCCATCATAACCCCAGCTAGCCGGAAGTGCTGGGGGCTGGGGGAACTTCTTAACCCCACCTGGCTAGAGGTGCTGGGGGTGACTTCATAAATGTCACCTGGCCAGAGGTGCTGGGGGGGGATTTCATAACCCCACCTGGCCAGAGGTGCTAGGGGGACATCATAACCTCACCTGGCCAGAGGTGCTGGGGGGTATCATAATCCCACCTGGCCAGAGATGCTGGGGGGACATCATAACCCCACCTAGCCAGAGGTGCTGTGGGGCCATCATAACCCCAGATTGCCAGAGGTGCTGGGGGGACATCATAACCTCACTTGGCCAGAGGTGCTGTGGGGGGGTATTATAACCCCACCTGGCCAGAGGTGCTGGGGGGTATCATAATCCCACCTGGCCAGAGGTGCTGTGGGGCCATCATAACCCCAGCTGGCAGGAGGTCCTGGGGGGCCATCATAACCCCACCTGGCCAGAGGTGCTGGGCGGCGGGGGGAACTTCTTAACCCCACCTGGCCAGAGGTGCTGGGGGTGACTTCAAAATGTCACCTGGCGAGAGGTGTTGGGGGGGATTTCATAACCCCACCTGGCCAGAGGTGCCGGGGGGACTTCATAACCCCACCTGGCCAGAGGTGCCGGGAGGACTTCATAACCACACCTGGCCAGAGGTGCCGGGGGGACTTCATAACCACACCTGGCCAGAGGTGCTGGGGGACATCATAACCCCACCTGGCCAGAGGTGCCAGGGGGGACATCATAACCCCACCTGGCCAGAGGTGCTGGGGGACATCATAATCCCACCTGGCCAGAGGTGCTGTGGGGCCATCATAACCCCACTTGGCCGGAGGTGCTGGGGGGCGGGGGGAACTTCATAACCCCACCTGGCCAGAGGTGCTGGGGGTGAATTCATTACTGTCACCTGGCCAGAGGTGCTGGGGGGATTTCATAACCCCACCTGGCTAGAGGTGCTGCGGGGGACTTCATAACCACACCTGGCCAGAGGTGCCGGGAGGACTTCATAACCCCACCTGGCCAGAGGTGCTGGGGGGACATCATAACTTCACCTGGCCAGAGGTGCCGGGAGGACTTCATAACCACACCTGGCCAGAGATGCTGGGGGGACATCATAACCACACCTGGCCAGAGGTGCCGGTGGGACTTCATAACCCCACCTGGCCAGAGGTGCCGGGGGGACTTCATAACCACACGTGGACAGAGGTGCCGGGGGGACATCATAACCACACCTGGCCAGAGGTGCCGGGGGCACATCATAACCTCACCTGGCCAGAGGTGCTGGGGGTGGGTATTATATCCCCACCTGGCCAGAGGTGCTGGGGGGGGACGTGATAACCACACTTGGCCAGAGGTGCCGGTGGGACTTCATAACCCCACCTGGCCAGAGGTGCCGGGGGGACTTCATAACCACACCTGGCCAGAGGTGCCGGGGGGACATCATAACCACACCTGGCCAGAGGTGCCGGGGGGACAACATAACCACACCTGGCCAGAGGTGCCCGGAGGACTTCATAACCACACCTGGCCAGAGGTGCCGGGAGGACTTCATAACCACACCTGGCCAGAGGTGCCGGGCGGACTTCATAACCACACCTGGCCAGAGGTGCTGGGGGACATCATAACCCCACCTGGCCAGAGGTGCCAGGGGGGACATCATAACCCCACCTGGCCAGAGGTGCTGGGGGACATCATAATCCCACCTGGCCAGAGGTGCTGTGGGGCCATCATAACCCCACTTGGCCGGAGGTGCTGGGGGGCGGGGGGAACTTCATAACCCCACCTGGCCAGAGGTGCTGGGGGTGAATTCATTACTGTCACCTGGCCAGAGGTGCTGGGGGGATTTCATAACCCCACCTGGCTAGAGGTGCTGCGGGGGACTTCATAACCACACCTGGCCAGAGGTGCCGGGAGGACTTCATAACCCCACCTGGCCAGAGGTGCTGGGGGGACATCATAACTTCACCTGGCCAGAGGTGCTGGGGGGTATCATAATCCCACCTGGCCAGAGATGCTGGGGGGACATCATAACCCCACCTGCCAGAGGTGCTGGGGGGCGGGGGGAACTTCATAACCCCACCTGGCCAGAGGTGCTGGGGGTGACTTCATAAATGTCACCTGGCCAGAGGTGCTGGGGGGATTTCATAACCCAACCTGGCCAGAGGTGCTGGGGGGACATCATAACCTCACCTGGCCAGAGGTGCTAGGGGGATATCATAATCCCACCTGGCCAGAGATGCTGGGGGGACATCATAACCCCACCTGGCCGGAGGTGCTGGGGGGCGGGGGGAACTTCCTAACCCTACCTGGCCGGAGGTGCTGGGGGTGACTTCATAAATGTCACCAGGCCAGAGGTGCTGGGGGGGATTTCATAACCACAGCTGGCCAGAGGTGCTGGGGGAGATTTCATAACCCCACCTGGCCAGAGGTGCTAGTGGGACTTCATAATCACACCTGGCCAGAGGTGCCAGGAGGACTTCATAACCACACCTGGCCAGAGGTGCTGGGGGGACATCATAACCTCACCTGGCCAGAGGTGCTGTGGGGGGGTATTATAACCCCACCTGGCCAGAGGTGCTGGGGGGGTCATAATCCCACTTGGCCAGAGGTGCTGTGGGGCCATCATAACCCCAGCTGGCCGGAGGTGCCGGGGGGCGGGGGGAACTTCATAACCCCACCTGGCCAGAGTTGCTGGGGGTGACTTCATAAATGTCACCTGGCCAGAGGTGCTGCGGGGGATTTTATAACCCCACCTGGCCAGAGGTGCTGGGGGGACATCATAACCTCACCTGGCCAGAGGTGCTAGGGGATATCATAATCACACCTGGCCAGAGATGCTGGGGGGCCATCATAACCCCACCTGGCCAGCGGTGCTGTGGGGCCATCATAACCCCACCTGGCCAGAGGTGCTGGGGGTGACTTCATAAATGTCACCTGGCCAGAGGTGCTGGGGGGGATTTCATAACCCCACCTGGCCAGGGGTGCTGGGGGGACATCATAACCTCACCTGGCCAGAGGTGCTGGGGGGTCATCATAACCCCACCTGGCCAGAGGTGCTGTGGGGCCATCATAACCCCAGCTGGCCGGAAGTGCTGGGGGCTGGGGGAGCTTCTTAACCCCACCTGGCCAGAGGTGCTGGGGGTGACTTCATAAATGTCACCTGGCCAGAGGTGCTGGGGGGGATTTCATAACCCCACCTGGCCAGAGGTGCTAGGGGGACATCATAACCTCACCTGGCCAGAGGTGCTGGGGGGTATCATAATCCGACCTGGCCAGAGATGCTGGGGGGACATCATAACCCCACCTAGCCAGAGGTGCTGTGGGGCCATCATAACCCCAGCTGGCCGGAGGTGCTGGGGGGCGGGGGGAACTTCATAACCCCACCCGGCCAGAGGTGCTGGGGGTGACTTCATAAATGTCACCTGGCCAGAGGTGCTGGGGGTGACTTCATAAATGTCACCTGGCCAGAGGTGCTGGGGGGATTTCATAACCTAACCTGGCCAGAGGTGCTGGGGGGATATCTTAACCTCACCTGGCCAGAGGCGCTAGGGGGATATCATAATCCCACCTGGCCAGAGATGCTGGGGGGACATCATAACCACACCTGGCCAGAGGTGCCGGGGGGACATCATAACCTCACCTGGCCAGAGGTGCTGGGGGTGGGTATTATATCCCCACCTGGCCAGAGGTGCTGGGGGGGACGTCATAACCACACTTGGCCAGAGGTGCCTGTGGGACTTCATAACCCCACCTGGTCAGAGGTGCCGGGGGGACTTCATAACCACACCTGGCCAGAGGTGCCGGGGGGACATCATAACAACACCTGGCCAGAGGTGCCGGGGGACAACATAACCACACCTGGCCAGAGGTGCCCAGAGGACTTCATAACCACACCTGGCCAGAGGTGCCCGGAGGACTTCATAACCCCACCTGTCCAGAGGTGCCGGGAGGACTTCATAACCACACCTGGCCAGAGGTGCTGGGCGGACTTCATAACCACACCTGGCCAGAGGTGCTGGGGGACATCATAACCTCACCTGGCCAGAGGTGCTGGGGGGTATTATAATCCCACCTGGCCAGAGATGCTGGGGGGACATCATAACCCCACCTGGCCAGAGGTGCTGTGGGGCCATCATAACCCCAGCTGGCCGGAGGTGCTGGGGGCAGGGGGAATTTCATAACCCCACCCGGCCAGAGGTGCTGGGTGTGACTTCATAAATGTCACCTGGCCAGAGGTGCTGGAGGGGATTTCATAACCCCACCTGGCCAGAGGTGCTGGGGGGGACTTCATAACCACACCCGGCCAGAGGTGCCGGGAGGACTTCATAACCCCACCTGGCCAGAGGTGCTGGGGGGACATCATAACTTCACCTGGCCAGAGGTGCTGGGGGGTATCATAATCCCACCTGGCCAGAGATGCTGGGGGGACATCATAACCCCACCTGGCCAGAGGTGCTGGGGGGCGGGGGGAACTTCATAACCCCACCTGGCCAGAGGTGCTGGGGGTGACTTCATAAATGTCACCTGGCCAGAGGTGCTGGGGGGATTTCATAACCCCACCTGGCCAGAGGTGCTGGGGGGACATCATAACCTCAGCTGGCCAGAGGTGCTAGAGGGATATCATAATCCCACCTGGCCAGAGATGCTGGGGGGACATCATAACCCCACCTGGCCGGAGGTGCTGGGGGGCGGGGGGAACTTCCTAACCCTACCTGGCCGGAGGTGCTGGGGGTGACTTCATAAATGTCACCAGGCCAGAGGTGCTGGGGGTGGATTTCATAACCACAGTTGGCCAGAGGTGCTGGGGGAGATTTCATAACCCCACCTGGCCAGAGGTGCTAGTGGGACTTCATAATCACACCTGGCCAGAGGTGCCAGGAGGACTTCATAACCACACCTGGCCAGAGGTGCTGGGGGGACATCATAACCTCACCTGGCCAGAGGTGCTGTGGGGGGGTATTATAACCCCACCTGGCCAGAGGTGCTGGGGGAGTCATAATCCCACCTGGCCAGAGGTGCCGGGAGGACTTCATAACCACACCTGGCTAGAGGTGCCGGGCGGACTTCATAACCACACCTGGCCAGAGGTGCTGGGGGACATCATAACCCCACCTGGCCAGAGGTGCCCGGAGGACTTCATAACCCCACCTGTCCAGAGGTGCCGGGAGGACTTCATAACCACACCTGGCCAGAGGTGCTGGGCGGACTTCATAACCACACCTGGCCAGAGGTGCTGGGGGACATCATAACCTCACCTGGCCAGAGGTGCTGGGGGGTATCATAATCCCACCTGGCCAGAGATGCTGGGGGGACATCATAACCCCACCTGGCCAGAGGTGCTGGGGGGCGGGGGGAACTTCATAACCCCACCTGGCCAGAGGTGCTGGGGGTGACTTCATAAATGTCACCTGGCCAGAGGTGCTGGGGGGATTTCATAACCCCACCTGGCCAGAGGTGCTGGGGGGACATCATAACCTCAGCTGGCCAGAGGTGCTAGAGGGATATCATAATCCCACCTGGCCAGAGATGCTGGGGGGACATCATAACCCCACCTGGCCGGAGGTGCTGGGGGGCGGGGGGAACTTCCTAACCCTACCTGGCCGGAGGTGCTGGGGGTGACTTCATAAATGTCACCAGGCCAGAGGTGCTGGGGGTGGATTTCATAACCACAGTTGGCCAGAGGTGCTGGGGGAGATTTCATAACCCCACCTGGCCAGAGGTGCTAGTGGGACTTCATAATCACACCTGGCCAGAGGTGCCAGGAGGACTTCATAACCACACCTGGCCAGAGGTGCTGGGGGGACATCATAACCTCACCTGGCCAGAGGTGCTGTGGGGGGGTATTATAACCCCACCTGGCCAGAGGTGCTGGGGGAGTCATAATCCCACCTGGCCAGAGGTGCCGGGAGGACTTCATAACCACACCTGGCTAGAGGTGCCGGGCGGACTTCATAACCACACCTGGCCAGAGGTGCTGGGGGACATCATAACCCCACCTGGCCAGAGGTGCCAGGGGGGACATCATAACCCCACCTGGCCAGAGGTGCTGGGGGACATCATAATCCCACCTCGCCAGAGGTGCTGTGGGGCCATCATAACCCCACTTGGCCGCAGGTGCTGGGGGGCGGGGGGAACTTCATAACCCCACCTGGCCAGAGGTGCTGCGGGGGACTTCATAACCACACCTGGCCAGAGGTGCTGCGGGGGATTTCATAACCACACCTGGCCAGAGGTGCCGGGAGGACTTCATAACCCCACCTGGCCAGAGGTGCTGGGGGGTATCATAATCCCACCTGGCCAGAGATGCTGGGGGTACATCATAACCCCACCTGGCCAGAGGTGCTGTGGGGCCATCATAACCCCAGCTGGCCGGAGGTGCTGGGGGCAGGGGGAATTTCGTAACCCCACCCGGCCAGAGGTGCTGGGGGTAACTTCATAAATGTCACCTGGCCAGAGGTGCTGGAGGGGATTTCATAACCCCACCTGGCCAGAGGTGCTGGGGGGGACTTCATAACCACACCCGGCCAGAAGTGCCAGGAGGACTTCATAACCCCACCTGGCCAGAGGTGCTGAGGGGACATCATAACTTCACCTGGCCAGAGGTGCTGGGGGGTATCATAATCCCACCTGGCCAGAGATGCTGGGGGGACATCATAACCCCACCTGGCCGGAGGTGCCGAGGGGCGGGGGGAACTTCATAACCCCACCTGGCCAGAGGTGCTGGGGGTGACTTCATAAATGTCACCTGGCCAGAGGTGCTTCGGGGGATTTCATAACCCCACCTGGCCAGAGGTGCTGGGGGGACATCATAACCTCACCTGGCCAGAGGTGCTAGGGGGTATCATAATCCCACCTGGCCAGAGATGCTGGGGGGCCATCATAACTCCACCTGGCCAGAGGTGCTGTGGGGCCATCATAACCCCACCCGGCCAGAGGTGCTGGAGGTGACTTCATAAATGTCACCTGGCCAGAGGTGCTGGGGGGGATTTCATAACCCCACCTGGCCAGGGGTGCTGGGGGGACATCATAACCTCACCTGGCCAGAGGTGCTGGGGGGTATCATAATCTGACCTGGCCAGAGATGCTGGGGGGACATCATAACCCCACCTGGCCAGAGGTGCTGTGGGGTCATCATAACCCCAGCTGGCCGGAGGTGCTGGGGGCTGGGGGAACTTCTTAACCCCACCTGGCCAGAGGTGCTGGGGGTGACTTCATAAATGTCACCTGGCCAGAGGTGCTGGGGGGGATTTCATAACCCCACCTGACCAGAGGTGCTGGGGGGACATCATAACCTCACCTGGCCAGAGGTGCTGGGGGGTATCATAATCTGACCTGGCCAGAGATGCTGGGGCGACATCATAACCCCACCTGGCCAGAGGTGCTGTGTGGCCATCATAACCCCAGCTGGCCGGAGGTGCTGGGGGGCGGGGGGAACTTCATAACCCCACCCGGCCAGAGGTGCTGGGGGTGACTTCCTAAATGTCACCTGGCCAGAGGTGCTGGGGGGATTTCATAACCTAACCTGGCCAGAGGTGCTGGGGGGACATCTTAACCTCACCTGGCCAGAGGCGCTAGGGGGATATCACAATCCCACCTGGCCAGAGATGCTGGGGGGACATCATAACCCCACCTGGCCGGAGGTGCTGGGAGGCGGGGGGAAATTCATAACCCCACCTGGCCAGAGGTGCTGGTGGTGACTTCATAAATGTCACCTGGCCAGTGGTGCTGGGGGGGATTTCATAACCACAGCTGGCCATAGGTGCTGGGGGAGATTTCATAACCCCACCTGGCCAGAGGTGCTGGGGGGACATCATAACCTCACCTGGCCAGAGGTGGTAGGGGGTATCATAATCCCACCTGGCCAGAGATGCTGGGGGGCCATCATAACCCCACCTGGCCAGAGGTGCTGTGGGGCCATCATAACCCCACCTGGCCAGAGGTGCTGGGGTTGACTTCATAAATGTCACCTGGCCAGAGGTGCTTGGGGGGATTTCATAACCCCACCTGGCCAGGGGTGCTGGGGGGACATCATAACCTCACCTGGCCAGAGGTGCTGGGGGGTATCATAATCTGACCTGGCCAGAGATGCTGGGGGGACATCATAACCCCACCTGGCCAGAGGTGCTGTGGGGCCATCATAACCCCAGCTGGCCGGAGGTGCTGGGGGTTGGGGGGAACTTCTTAACCCCACCTGGCCAGAGGTGCTGGGTGTGACTTCATAAATGTCACCTGGCCAGAGGTGCTGGGGGAGATTTCATAACCCCACCTGGCCAGAGGTGCTGGGGGGATATCATAACCTCACCTGGCCAGAGGTGCTGGGGGGTATCATAATCCCACCTGGCCAGAGATGCTGGGGGGACATCATAACCCCACCTAGCCAGTGGTGCTGTGGGGCCATCATAACCCCAGCTGGCCGGAGGTGCTGGGGGGCGGGGGGAACTTCATAACCCCACCCGGCCAGAGGTGCTGGGGGTGACTTCATAAATGTCACCTGGCCAGAGGTGCTGGGGGGATTTCATAACCTAACCTGGCCAGAGGTGCTGGGGGGACATCTTAACCTCACCTGGCCAGAGGTGCTAGGGGGATATCATAATCCCACCTGGCCAGAGATGTTGGGGGGACATCATAACCCCACCTGGCCGGAGGTGCTGGGAGGCGGGGGGAACTTCATAACCCCACCTGGCCAGAGGTGCTGGTGGTGACTTCATAAATGTCACCTGGCCAGAGGTGCTGGGGGGGATTTCATAACCACAGCTGGCCATAGGTGCTGGGGGAGATTTCATAACCCCACCTGGCCAGAGGTGCTGGGGGGACATCATAACCTCACCTGGCTAGAGGTGCTGTGGGGGTGTATTATAACCCCACCTGGCCAGAGGTGCTGGGGGGTATCATAATCCCACCTGGCCAGAGGTGCTGTGGGGCCATCATAACCCAATCTGGCCGGAGGTCCTGGGGGGCCATCATAACCCCACCTGGCCAGAGGTGCTGGGGGGCGGGGGGAACTTCTTAACCCCACCTGGCCAGAGGTGCTGGGGGTGACTTCATAAATGTCACCTGGCCAGAGGTGCTGCGGGGGATTTCATAACCCCACCTGGCCAGAGGTGCTGGGGGGACATCATAACCTCACCTGGCCAGAGGTGCTAGGGGATATCATAATCCCACCTGGCCAGAGATGCTGGGGGGCCATAATAACCCCACCCGGCCGGAGGTGCTGGGGGGCGGGGGGAACTTCATAACCCCACCTGAGCAGAGGTGCTGGGGGTGACTTCATAAATGTCACCTGGCCAGAGGTGCCGGGGGGACTTCATAACCCCACCTGGCCAGAGGTGCCGGGAGGACTTCATAACCACACCTGGCCAGAGGTGCTGCGGGGACATCATAACCTCACCTGGCCAGAGGTGCTGGGGGTGGGTATTATATCCCCACCTGGCCAGAGGTGCTGGTGGGGGGACTTCATAACCACACCTGGCCAGACTTGCCGGGGGGACATCATAACCACACCTGGCCAGAGGTGCCAGTGGGACTTCATAACCCTACCTGGCCAGAGGTGCCGGGGGTACTTCATAACCCCACCTGGCCAGAGGTGCTGGGGGGACATCATAACCACACCTGGCCAGAGGTGCCGGGGGGACATCATAACCACACCTGGCCAGAGGTGCCGGGGGGACATCATAACCACACCTGGCCAGAGGTGCCCGGAGGACTTCATAACCACACCTGGCCAGAGGTGCCGGGGGGACATCATAACCACACCTGGCCAGAGGTGCTGGGGGTGGGTATTATATCCCCACCTGGCCAGAGGTGCTGGGAGGGGACTTCATAACCACACCTGGCCAGAGGTGCCGGGGGGACATCATAACCACACCTGGCCAGAGGTGCCGGTGGGACTTCATAACCCCACCTGGCCAGAGGTGCCAGGGGACTTCATAACTACACCTGGCCAGAGGTGCCGGTGGGACATCATAACCACACCTGGGCAGAGGTGCCGGGGGGACATCATAACCACACCTGGCCAGAGGTGCCAGGAGGACTTCATAAACACACCTGGCCAGAGGTGCCCGGAGGACTTCATAACCACACCTGTCCAGAGGTGCCAGGAGGACTTCATAACCACACCTGGCCAGAGGTGCTGGGCGGACTTCATAACCACACCTGGCCAGAGGTGCTGGGGGACATCATAACCCCACCTGGCCAGAGGTGCTGGGGGACATCATAACCACACCTGGCCAGAGGTGCTGGGGGACATCATAACCCCACCTGGCCAGAGGTGCTTGGGGACTTCATAACCACACCTGGCCAGAGGTCCCGGGGGGGCCATCATAACCCCACCTGGCCGGAGGTGCCGGGGGGGGCCATCATAACCCCACCTGGCCAGAGGTGCCGGGGGGACTTCATAACCACGCCTGGCCAGAGGTGCCGGGGGGACTTCATAACCACGCCTGGCCATAGGTGCCGGGGGGACTTCATAACCGCGCCTGGCCAGAGGTGCTGGGGGACTTCATAACTGCACCTGGCCAGAGGTGCTGGGGGATATCATAACCGCACCTGGCCAGTGGTGCTCGGGGACATCATAACCCCACCTGGCCAGAGGTGCTGGGGGAGTTCATAACCCCACCTGGCCAGAGGTGCTGGAGGCCATCACAACCCCACCTGGCCATAGGTGCTGGGGGACTTCATAACCACACCTGGTGTGTACCACCACGCCACCCTAATTTTTGAATTTTTAGTAGAGACGGGGTTTCGCCATGTTGGCAAGGCTGGTCTCTACTCCTTACCTCTAGTGATCCATCCACCTCAGCCTCCGAAAATGCTGGGATTACAGGCATGAGCCACCGCGCCCGGCCGTATCCTGGAACTTTACTGAATTCATTTATGAATTCTGACAGTTGTTTGGAAGAATCTTTAGGTTTGTTTAAATATAAGGTCACATCATCTACTAACAATGACAATTTGACTTTCCATTATTCATGCTGTTTGTTTCTTTCTGTTGTCTAATTGCTCTGGTTAAAACTTTGAGTACTATGTTGAATAAGTGGGGAAAATGAGTATCCTTGTTTTGTTCCAGATCAGAGAAAAGGCTTTCGGTTTTTTTTCCCATTTAGTATAATACTAGCTGTGAGTTTATTTTATATGACATTTATTATGTTCTTCCTATACACAGTTTGTTCAGGGTTTTTCTCATGACAGGATGTGGAATTTTATTGAATGTTTAAAAGCATCTATTGAAATAATTTATGGTTTTTGTCCTGCATTCTTTTGATGCATTGTGCCACGTTTATTGATTTGCATATGCTGAACCATCTTTGCATCCCGGGGATGCATCCCACTTGATCAAAATGAATGATCTTTTTAATGTGTTCTTGAATTTGGGATGCTAGTATTTCACTGAGGATTTTTGTATCTACATTCATCAGAAATATTGGCCTGTAGTTTTCTTTTTTGTTTGTCTGGTTTTTGTATCAGGATAATGCTGGACTTGTAGAATGAGTTTAGGTGTATTTCCTTCTTTTATATTTTTTGGGGTAGTTTGAGTAGAATTGGTATTAGTTGTTCTTTAGATATTTGGCAAATTCAGCAGTGAAGCCATGAGGTACTTAGCTTTTCTTTGATGGGAGACTTTTCAGCACTGCCCCTATCTCACTGTATGTTATTGGTGTATTCATGCTTTCCATTTCTTCATGTTTAAATCCTGGTAGGTGGTATGTGTCTAGGAATTTATCAATTTCCTCTGCCTTTTCCAATTTTTTGGCATGTATAATAGTTGCTCATAGTAGTCTCTAAAGATATTTTGAATTTCAGTGATATCAGTTGTAATGTCATCTCTCTGATTTAATTTATTTGAGTCTTCTCTTTTTTCTTAGTCTGTCAAAAGAGTTTGTCAATTTTGTTTATCTTTCCAAAAACCGACTTTTTGTTTTGTGATCTTTTGTATTTTTTGTTTCAATTTGATTTCTGCTCTGATCTTTATTATTTATTGTCTTCTCTTAATTTTAGGTTTGATTTGCTATTGCTTTTCTAATTCTTTAAGGTGGTGCATCATTTGGTTGTCTGAAGTCTTTTTACTCTCTCTCTCTCTTTTTTTTTTTTTTTTGAGACAGGGTCTGGCTCTGTCACTCAGGCTGGAGTGTAGTGGCGTGATCTCGGCTTACTGCAACCTCTGCCTCCCAAGCTCATGCCATCCTCCCACCTCAGCCTCCTGCGTAGTTGGGACTCTAGGCATGTGCCACCACACTCAGCTTTTTTTTTTTTTTTTTTTTTTTTTTGTATTTTTGGTAGAAACGGGGTTTCATCATGTTGCTCAGGCTTGTCTCAAACTCCTGAGCTCAAGCAATCCACCTGCTTTGGCTTCCCGAAGTGCTGGGATTACAGGCATGAGCCACTGTGCCTAGCCTTTACTCTTCTAACATAGGCATTTATTAGTATAAGCTTCCTTCTTAGTACTGCTTTTGATATACTTCATAGGTTTTGGTACGTTGTATTTCAATTTTTTACAGTTTCAAGAAACTTTAAAATTTCTGTCTTAGTTGCTTCATTGAGCAATGGTATTCAGGAGCATGTTATTTAATTTCTATGTATTTGAATAGTTTCCCAAGTTCCTCTTGTTGTTGATTTCTAGTTTTATTCTATTGTGGTCACAGAAGACAACTGATATAATTTTGATTTTTTCAAATTTTCTGAGACTTTTTTTGTGGCCTAAGGTATGGTCTGTTCTGGAGAATGTTCCATGTGCTAATAAGAATGTGTATTCTGCAGCTGTTAGATGAAATGTTCTGTAAATATCTGTTAGATCCATTTGGTCTCTAGCGCAGATTAAGTCAGATGTTTCTATGTTGATTTTCTGCCTGGAAGTTCTGTCCAGTGCTGAAAGTAGGTTGTTGAAGTCTCCAGCTATTATGGTACTGAGGACTATCTCTCTCTTTAGCTGTAATAATATTTGCTTTATACATCTGGCTGCTCCAGTGTTGGGCCCATATATGTTTACCATTGTTATATCCTCTTGCTGAGTTAACCACTTCATCCTCATATAATAACCGTTTTTGTCTTTTTTTTTTACTGTTTTGTCTTGAAACGTCTTATATCAGAAACTTTATCTGATATAAATACAGTGACTCTTGCTTTTTTGTTTCCATTTGCATGGAATATCTATTTTCATCCCTTCCTTTTCAGTCTGTGTGTATCTTTATGGGTGAAGTGAGTTTCTTTCCTTTTTTTTTTTTTTTTGACAGAATTTCTTTCTCATTGCCCAGGCTGGAGTGTAATGACACGGTCTTGGCTCACTACAACCTCCACTTCCTGGGTTCAAGCGATTCTCCTGCCTCAGTCTCCCAAGTAGCTGGGATTACAGGCACCTGCACCACTCATGGCTAATTTTTTTGTATTTTTAGTAGAGACGCAGTTTCACCATGTTGGCCAGGGTGGTCTTGAACTCCTGAACTCAAGTGATCTGCCTGCCTCAGCCTCCCAAAAGTGCTGGGATTACAGGCGTGAGCCATTGTGCCCAGCCGAAATGAGTTTCTTATAGGCAACATATAGTGAGTCTTGTTTTTAAAATACATTCAGCCACTCTACGTCTTTTTATTGGAGAATATAGCCTATTTAAATTCAATGTTATTATTGATAGGTTATTAATGCCATTTTGTTACTTGTTTTCTGGTTGTTTTATTAGTCCTTCCTTTCTCCTGGTCTTCCTTTTTGTAGAAGTGATATTCTCTGGTAGCATATTTTGATTTCTTGCTTTTTAATTTTTGTGTATCTATTATAGGTTTTTCCTTGGTGATTACCATGAGGTTTGCAAAAAACATCATCAGTTCTTTTAAACTGATGACAACTCAACTCTGATCACATAGAAAAGAAAAAAGAAAGAAAAATTAACTTTGTCACTGCTGCTTGTTGACTTTTTCTTGTTTCTATTTTTATATTTTTTGTATCTTCACAATTGTTTTACTTATGATTATTTTTGATGGGTTTGTCTTTTAGTCTTCACACTAACGATATGAGTGATTTTTTTTTTTTTTTTGAGACAGAGTCTTGCTCTGTCACCCAGGCTGGAATGCAGTGGTGCAATCTCGGCTCACTGCCAGCTCCGCCTCCCGGGTTCACACCATTCTCCTGCCTCAGCCTCCCGAGTAGCTGGGACTACAGGTCCCCACCACCATGCTCGGATAATTTTTTGTATTTTTAGTAGAGACAGGGTTTCACCGTGTTAGCCAGGATGGTCTCGATCTCCTGACCTTGTGATCCACCCGCTTCGGCCTCCCAAAGTGTTGGGATTACATGTGTGAGCCACCACGCCTGGCCAAGTGATTTTTTTTTTTTTCTGAGACAGAGTCTGGCTTTGTCATCCAGGTTGGAGCACAGTGGTGTGATCTTGATTCACTGCAACCTCCACCTCCAGGATTCAAGTGATCTTGTGCCTCAGGCACCTGAGTAGCTGGGATTACAGGCACGCACCACCATACCCAGCTACTTTTTGTATTTTTAGTAAAGATGGGGTTTTGCCATGTTGGCCAGCTGGTCTTGAACTCCTGAGTTCAAGTGATTCACCCACCTCAGCCTCCCAACGTGACATGAGTGATTTATACTCTCCAATTACAATATTAGAGTATTAGGTATACTCACTTTCATCAGCAGGTTTTGTTCTTTCTGATGATTTCTTGTTGCATATTAGCATCCTTTACTTTCAGAATGAAGTACCTTTAGCATTTCTTGTAAAATTGATCTAGCATTGATGAATTTCCTTAGCTTTTGTTTGTCTGGAAAAGCTTTTATTTCTCCTTGGTGTTTGAAGGATAACTTCGTTGGATACAGTATTTTATGTTAGAAGTTGTTCCACTCAGGACTTTGTATATGTCATTCCACTCTCTCCGGGCTTGTACAGTTTCCACTGAGCAGTCTACAACCAGATACATTGGAGCTTCTTTATATGTTATTTGCTTCTTTCTGTTACTGTTTTTAGGATCCTTTTTTTGTCCTTGACCTTTGAGAGTTTGATTATTATAGGCCTTGAGGGAGTCTTATTTAGCTTGAATCTTTTTGGTGTGTGCTTTTTTTTTTTAACCTTCTTCTATGTGGATATTACTATCTTTTTCTAGGTTTGAAAAGTTACATGTTATTTGCCTGAATAAACCTTCTACCCAAATCTCTTTCTCCATCCTCTTTAAGGTTAATAACTCTTATATTTGTCCTTTTAAGGCTGTTTTCTAGATAGCCTTAAAAGGGCAAATATAAGAGTAAGCATACTTTATTCTTTTATTTTCTGCTCTGTGTATTTTCAAATAGCCTATCTTTGAGCTCAATAATTTATTCCTTTGCTTGATCAATTCTGGAGGCATTCTGATGCATTTTTCAGTTTGCTAATTGAATTTTTAGTCTCTGGGATCATACCACTGCACTCCGGCCTGGGTGACAGAGTGGGACTCTGTCTCAAAGAAAACAACAACAACAACAACAAAACAACAAACAAAAAAACTTGTCTCTGGAATTTGATTTTTTAAAAATTATTTTCATTTCTCTTTTTTTGATAGAATTCTAAGTTTCTTCTTTGTGTTATCTTGAAATTCATTGAGCTTCCTCAAGACAGTTATTTGAATTCCTCATCAAATTATCTTGGGGCAGACATCTTTCCGGCCAGAGGGGGGTTATCTCGAGGCTGGCATCTTCCTGGCGGAGGGGGGTTATCTTGGGGCTAGCATGTCTCTGGTCGGGGAGGAGTTTGGAATGTTTCTGGTTGGAGATGTTATTTGTGGTTTATGGTCGTGCTGACCTTAGCCATTAGGCTGATGCCCTTTGGACTGAGGCAGTTTTTTACCAAGGTAGAAATCAGAATAAAAATTAGAATCAGGAGCTTGTCCAAGATGGCAATGCTCCTGCTCTGTCAGTACCCACTTGGAAGGCACAGTCTTCTTTACTCTTCCCTCTCCTTCCCCCAAGATGAAGGAGTCTCTCCATGACAAACTGCCTGCAGTTGGGCAAGGGGTTATGCGAGCATTCCCATGGCTGCTGTAGCTGGTGTTATGCTGGGTCACACCACAAGTTCACAGCCTCTGAAATGAGTGCAGCACATCTGCTTGGCCAAGGATGCAGTCACTGTGGGCTGGCAGTCACTCAAATTTACTCAGTACCCAGGCCATTTTAGCCAGGCTGTGGTGAAGCAAGCTGGGACTTGGGTTCCTCCTATTGGAGTGGAGGATTCCTCTCTGGCCTGGGGCTGGTTTAAGTGTTCCCTCTGTGGGCATCAGGGGTTTCTGTCCAGTGTTGTGCTCCATTGCGACAGAAAAGCACTGATTTCCAATGTGAAGTTCCATGCTCATTTCACTCTGTCTCCCACAAACACACAGATTGTTTCTCCATACTGTGATGCCTGGGGTTGTTGGTGGTGGTAGTGGTGTAGGCAATGTAACATTGTCCTTCCTACCCTCTTCAATGTGCCTTTATGTTATATTATGTTCAAACCAGGTACTGTTGTCACTCATTTAATTTTTTGATTCTTACGAAGTTGCTTTCTTGGGTAGATAGTTGTTGAATTTGGTGTCCCTGTTGGGGAGATAGCAACTGGAGGGTTCCATTTACCACCTGGTTCCACCTCCCTCCTCTAAGCAAGCTTCTTCAGAAATGCATTATTTGCTGTTTTCTTTCAGAAAATGGAACTTTTAACAGAGAACTCCAATCTAATGTTGAGAATTTAATATTGTTAAACATTGTTCAATAGCAACACTATCTTACTTTTGTTCATAAGAGCTTGTTATGCCAACTTTACATATACTTGTTTAAAAGGTAAATGTAAGCAAGCTTCTTTAGAGATGGATTATGTGGGCCGGGTGTGGTGGCTCACGCCTGTAATCCCAGCACTTTGGGAGGCCAAGGCGGGTGGATCACAAGGTCAGGAGATCGAGACCATCCTGGCTAACACGGTGAAACCCTGTCTCTACTAAAAATACAAAAAAATTAGCCGGGCGTGGTGGCGGGCGCCTGTAGTCGCAGCTACTCAGGAGGCTGAGGCAGGAGAATGGCGTGAACCTGGGAGGCGGAGCTTGCAGTGAGCAGAGATCACGCCACTGCACTCCAGCCTGGGCAACAGAGTGAGACTACATCTCAAAAAAAAAAAAAAAAAAAAAGAGAGAGATGGATTATGTGGTATATTCTTTCAGAAATTGGAACTGTTTAACAAATACAGAATTCTGTAATCTAGTGTGGAGAAAATGCTATTGAATGATAGTTCTTACCTTTGTTCACAATGGCTTATGATGATGGGTTTACATAAACACGGTTAAGAGGTAAATCTTCACAAGCTTCTTTAGAGAGGCATTTTGTGCTGTTTTCTTTCAGAAATTGGAACTGTTTAACAAATACAGAACTCTGTAACCTAGTGTTGGGAACATGCTATTGAATGATATTTCTAGTATTTGTTCCCTAAATCTTATAATGAAATGATTACAAACGCTTGTTTGGGAGGCAAATCTAAGCAGCCTTCTTCAGAGTTGCTCATTTGCAGTTTTCTTTCAGAGAATGAAAGTGCTTAATTGCTAAAAACTCTGTAATCTAGTGTTAACAACATGCTATTGAGTGATATATCACACCTTTGTTTCTACAATAAGAGGTTATTGTAAGGTATTTACATATACTCATTTAAAATGTAAATTTAACCAAGCTGCTTAAGAGATGCATCCTATGGTGTTTTCTATCAGAGAATGGAATTGCTTAACACATAAAGACTATGTAGTCTAGTGTTGAAACATGTTATTGAATAATATTTCTCATTTGAGTTGCTACAGGCTTATTAAGTGGTGTTTATGTATACATGTTTAAACGGTAAGCTAAGCAAACTTCATCAGAGATGTATTGTGCCCTGTTTTGTTTTAGAGAACAGATTTGGTATTACATGGACAACTCTGAAATGTAGTCTCAACAACATGTTCTTGAATGATATTATCATTATTCTGAAAATGTTATTGTGAGGTGTTTACATATGTGCATTTAAAAGCTAAATCTAAGGAAGCTTCTTCAAAGATGCATAATTTATTTTTTCCCCCAGAGAAGTATTTATTACACAGAGAACTGGGAATCTAGTGTTGACAACATGCTATTTTATGGTGTTTGTGATCCTTGCTCCACAGAAGTTACTGGGAGGTATTTACATATACTTGTTTAAAGGGAAATATAAATGAGTTTCTCCAAAAATGCATTATGCTGCTTTTGTTCAGAGAATTAAATTGATTAACATATAAAAAACTCTTTTTTTTTTCTGAGACGGTGTCTCATCCTGTCACCCAGGCTGGAGTGCAATGGCGCGATCTCGGCTCACTGCAACCTCTGCCCCCCGGATTCAAGTGATTCTCCTGCCTCAGCCTCCTGAGTAGCTGGGATTACAGGCACGCACCACCATGCCCGGCTAATTTTTATATTTTTAATAGAGATGGGGCTTCACCATGTAGGCCAAGCTGGTCTCGAACTCCTGACCTCAAGTGATCTGCTTACTTCAGCCTCCCAAAGTGCTGGGATTACAGCCACTGCGCCCAGCCAAAGAGCTCTTAAATATAGTGTTAATAACATGCTACTGAATGATATTTCTTATCTTTGTTCCAAATGAGTTATTACAAATTTACATATACATGTTTAAAAGGTAAATCTAAGTAAACTTATTTAGGGATGCATTACATGCTATTTTTTTTTCAGAATATGAAAGTCTTTATTACATAGAGAACTCTGTAATGTAGTGTTGGCAACATTCTATTGAAAGATATTTCTTACACTGAAATACTTTTCCTGAGGGCTTATAATGAGGTGTTAACATATACACATTTAAAAGGTATATGGCAGAAAGGCACCATGGGCTGGTTTCTTTCAGGAAATGAACTATTTATCACAAAGAGATATCTGAAATTTAGTGGTTTTTTTTTTTTTTTTTTGGCAAAGTCTTACTCTGTCACCCAGACTGAATTACAGTGGCACTATCTTGGCTTACTGTAGCGCCTGCCTCCCAGGCTCCCAGCTCAGCCTCCCATGTAGCTGGGATCATAGACATGTACCACCACATTGGGCTAATGTTTTTATATTTTATTTTTTATTTTTAGTAGAGTTGAGGTCTTGCTACATTGCCCAGGCTAGTCTTGAACTCCTGGGATCAAGTGATCCACCTTCCTCGGTCTCCCAAAGTGCTGGGATTACAGGCCTGAGCCACCGCGCCTGGCCTGAAATTTAATTTTGATAACATGCTGTTAAATAATATTTCTTATTTGTTCCAAAGGAGTTATTATGAGGTGTTTACATATAAATACTTAAAATATAAATATAAGCAAGCTTCTTCAGAGATGCGTCATGTGCTG
Source organism: Homo sapiens (assembly GCF_000001405.40). Classification (NCBI taxonomy): domain Eukaryota; kingdom Metazoa; phylum Chordata; class Mammalia; order Primates; family Hominidae; genus Homo; species Homo sapiens. The sequence goes on from NT_187659.1 coordinate 28,533, forward strand.
TTTTGTTTCAGAGAATGGAATTGTTTATAACATATAAAATTTAAAAGTCTCTTTTTGACAACATGCTAATGAATGATTTTCTTTTTTACGTTTGTTCCTAAGGATTTATTATGAGGTATTACAAGGCGTGTTTAAAAGGTAAGTCTGGCTGGGCATGGTGGCTCATGCCTGTAATCCCAGCACATTGGGAGGCCAAGGTGGGTGGACTGCTTGAGCCCAGGAGTTCAAACATGGACAACATGGCAAAATCCCACCTCTACAAAAAATGCAAAAAAATTATCCAGGCATGGTGGCATGTGCCTGTAATTCCAGCTATTCAGGAGGCTGAGGTGAGAGGATCACCTGAGCCCAGGAGGTTGAGGCTGCAGTGAGCCACGATTGCACCACTGCACTCAAGCCTGGGTGACAGAGCGAGACTATGTCTCAAAAAACAAACAAAAAACAAAAACAAAACAAAAAAAGGTAAATCTAAGCAAGCTTTGGCGAAGTACATCATGTGCTGTTTTCTTTCAGAGAATGAGAATGTTTAGCACTTAAAGAACTCTGTGATCTACTGTTGATTAACATGCTATTGATGATAATTCTTACATTTGTTCCTATGGCTTATTATAAAGTGTTTACATAAAATATTTAAGGTAAATCGAAACAAGTTTCTTTAGAGATGCACCATATGTTTTTTTTTTGTTTCAGAGAGTGGAATTATTTATTATTATTTCAGAGAATTCTGAAATTTAGTGTTGACAACATGCTCTTGAATGATATTTCTTATTATTGTTCCAAAGAGGTTATTATGAGGTATTTACATAAGCACATTTAAAAGGTAAATCTAGGCCAGGCACGGTGGCTCATGCCAGTAATTACAGCACTTTGGAAGGCTGAGGTGGGTGGATCGCTTGAGGCAAGGAGTTCGAGACCAGCCTGGCCAACATGGTGAAACTCTGTCTCTACTAAAAATACAAAAAGTAGCTGGGTGTGGTGGTGCATACCTGTAGTCCCAGCTACTCTGGAGGGTGAGGAAGGAGAATTGCTTGAACCCAGGAAGTGGAGGCTGCAGTGAGCTGAGATTGCACCACTGCAGTCCAGCCTGGACAACTGAGTGAGACTCATCTCAAAAAAAAAAAGAAAAAAAGGTAAATCTAAACAATTTTTTTCAGAGGTGCATCATGTGCTCATTACTTTCAGAGAATGGAAATGGTTAACACGTAGAGCACTCTGTAATCTAGTGTTGACAACATGCTATTGGAATGAAATTTCTCACATTTGTTCTTAATTTCTTTTTATGTATTTTCTATCTGAGTCTGTTTTTGTTTTGCTCTAAAGGAATACCTGAGGCTGGGTAATTGATAAAGAAAAGAGGTTTATTTAGCTTACAGTTGTGCAGCTTGCCTGAGATGCAAGTCCCCTGCATCTGCATCTGGTGAGTCTCCTGGGGGGCTTTCACCCCTGGTGGAAGGTGAAGGGGTGCCGTGTGTGCAGAATCACATGATGAGACCGCAGAAGCAAGAGAGCAAGGAGGGGAGTTCCAGGCTCTTTTAAACATTCAGTTCTCATAGGAATTAAGAGTGAGAATTCACTCATTACAGAGAGGATGGCATCAAACATTCATGAGGGGTTTGTCCTCATGACACAAATACCTCCTATTAGGTCCCACCTCCACATTGGGTACAAATTTCAACATGATATTTGGAGGGGATGAATATCCAAACTTTATCATTTCGCCTCAGACCGTCCAAATCATATGTACTTCTCACATTGCAAAATATAATCACCCTTTCCTAATAGTCCCCAAAGGCTTAACTTGTTCCAATCATCAACTCATAAGTCCAAAGTCTAAAGTCTGATTTGAGACTCAAGGTCAAGTTTTTACACCTGTAAGCCTGTACAACTAAAAACAAGTTGTTTGCTTTTAAGATAGAATGGTAAGACATATACTGGGTAAGCGTTCTTATTTCAAACGTGAGAAATTGGCCAAAAGAAAGGGTTATTGCAAGACTGAAATTGGCCATGCAAGACTGAAACCTATTGGCGAAGGCATTAAACCTTTAAGCTCCAAAATAATATTTGGGTCCATGTACTGTATCCTGGGCACCATGGTGCAAGAGGTGGTCCCCCCAAGGCCTTGGGCATTCCCACCCCCATGGCTTTGCTGGGTGCAGCCCACCTGGCTACTCTCACAGGTTGGAGTTCAATGGCTTTGGCTTTTCCAGGCTGAGGGTGCACACTGCTGGTGGCTCTACTGTTCTTGGGTCTGGAAGGTGGCATCCCTGTTCCCACAGCTCCATTAGCCATTGCCCTAATATAGGCTTTTTTTTGTGGGGCCCTCAACCGCACTATCCACTCAGGATTGCCTGAGTAGAGTCTCTCTTTGGGGGTTCTGCCCTGCAGCAGCCTTCTGCCTGGGCACCCTGGATTCCTGGCACATCCTCTGACACCTAGGTGGAAGCTTCCAAGCCTCCCCCACACTTGCATTTTGCAGACTTAACACATGTGGAAACTGCCAAGGCTTATGACTTTCACCCTTTGGAGCAGCAGCCCAAGCTGTACTTGAGGCTATTTGGGCTATGGCTACAGCCAGAATGGCTTGGATATGGGAGCAGCATTCCAAGGTGCCACAAAGCTGTGGCACCTGGGGCCTGGCACCCAAAAACATACTGTCCCCCTAGACCTCTGGGCCTGTGATGAGAGAGGTGTCCTTGAAGATTTCTAAAATGCCTCTAGGGCTTTCCTGCATTGTCTTGACTATTAGCACCTGGCTCCCTTTTGTCTCTGCCTATGTCTCTAGCAAGAGATTGCTCCACTGCCCCCTTGAATTCCTTGTCTGAAAATGCTCTTTCCTTTCCTACCACATAGCAAGGCTGGAAATTTTCCAAATTTTAATGGTTTATTTCCTTTTTAATTATAAATTCCACCTTTAAGTCATTCTCTTACTGTCAAATCTGGTCATAGGCTGTTAAAAAGCAGCCCTGCTGACTGGGCACAGTGGCTCATGCCTGTAATCCCAGCACTTTGGGAGGCCAAGGTGGGCAGATCACTTGAGGCCAGGAGTTCAAGGCCAGCCTGGCCAACATAGCGAAAACTCATCACTACTAAAAATACAAAAATTAGCCAGGCCTGGTGATGTGCACCTGCAGTCCCAGCTACTCAGGAGGCTAAGGTCAGAGAATCACTTGAATCCAGGAGGCGGAGGTTGCAGGGAGCTGAGATGGTGTCACTGCATTCCAGCCTGGGTGACAGAGTGAGACTCTGTCTCAACGCCCCCCCCAAAACAAAACAAAACAAAACAAAAAACAAACAAAAAAACCCAGCCATGCCACTTCTTGAACACTTTGCTGCTTAAAAATTTCTTTCGACAGATACCCTAGGTCATCACTCTTGTTTGTCCTTCCATGAATCCTTGGGGTATGGACACAATGCAGTCATGTTCTTTGCTATGGTGTCACAAGTGTGACCTTTGCTCCATTTCCCAATAACTTCCTCATTTCCATCTGAGACCTCATCAGACTGGACTTCACTGTCCATATCATTATGAGCATTTTGGTCACAACCATTCAACCAGTCTCTAGGAAGTTCCAAACTTTCCCTCATCTTCCTCTCTTCTTCTGTGCCCTCCACACTCTCCTAACCTCTGCCCATTACCCAGTTCCAGAGCTGCTTCCACATTTTCAGGTATCTTTGTAGCAATGTTCCACTTCTAGGTATCAATTTTCTGTATTAGTCCATTCATGCATTGCTATAAAGAAATATCTGAGACTGGGTAATTTATGAAGAAAAGAGGTTTAATTGGCTCACAGTTCCACAGGCTGTACAGGAAGCATGATGCTGGCATCTGCTTGGCTTCTGGGAAGCCCTCAGGAAGCTTCCATTCATGGCGGAAGGCAGAGGTAGAGCATGTACTTCACATGGCCAGAGTAGGAGCAAGAGACAGTGAGGGGAGCGGTGCTATACACTTTTAACCAGAGTTTATGAGAATTCACTTACTATTGAGAGCACAGTACCAAGATAGATGGTGCTAAACCATTCATGAGAAAGTGCTCCCATGATCAAATCACCTTCCCATCAGGACCCACCTCCAACATTAGGGATTACGATTCAACATGAGATTCAAGGACACAGATCCAAACCATATCATGCTCTGTAATTCTTTCTTTAGCTTGGCCTATTCTGCTGCTAATGCTTTTGATTGTATTATGAAATTCTTGAGGAGGAGCCAAGATGGCTGAGTAGATGCAGCCAGGAGGAATATTCTCCCACAAAGATACTGGGATATTGAGAGAGACTGGCACACTCTGAGCAGCTCTTCAGAACAAAAGTGTTGAGAGTGGACAGAGGGAGGACACAGATGCTGGACTGAAGGGGGAGTATGCTGGGAGCCCTACACGGGGTTTCTGAGCACCAGGACTTGTTGCTTGCTCCTAGCATCTCCTGGGGAAGGAGTAAACTGAACAGGTGAGGAGTGGCCTACTCTCACCATGAACCTCCAGAATCCTAGCTGCAGGAGACCCCACAACCCCCATAGACATCTGAGCTGACAGGAAGAGCTGCCTAGACAGGTAGTAGGGGCAGGACTCCAGCCTGTGCAGAGCCCAGAGGGTTTTGGCATGGGAATGGCTACAGTGGAGCATGGCCAGTGACATCCATCCCCCAAGGTTCGCCATGCTCCTCTGGGAGATTTTAGCCTTAGCATGACTGTTGGACCTGGACAGAGCAGGATGGTCTTGCCCTTGGTCTTGCTCAGTCTGATCTGAGTGCCCCCTTGTCTGCTGGCCTCTCCTGAGGTCCCAGCCTGGCCATGCCTGCTTGCAGCACAGCCTTGGATGCCCAATCAGCGTGCTTCCCAGGGACCCTCATCACAGCTCCCTTGCTGGTGGACTGCACCTAACCTTTTGGAAGCTCCAGCAGACTGACCTCTGCTGATGCACACCAGTGTACCCACGGCCTCTTCCCCCACTGCTTTGTCAGCACACTCGCATGGGCAGATCTTGCCTACCATGCTGGTGCATGTGTGTGCAGGTATTACACCATGCCACTGCTACTGGCATGAGTGCACCCTGCTGCTCTCCACCCCTGCTGATGTGTGGTCACTCTGCCATGTCACCAGTGCCAGTATGAACATGTGCACAGACACTGACAACCCTGCCCCTTCCACACCACTGCAATCACCAGTGCAAACGCATGCACGGACACTGGCAATCCTGCCCGCATCATGCCACTGCTGTTGCTGGTATGAATGCACACGTGGACACCAGCAACCCTGCCCCCACAAGTTCCCTGTCCCTGCCATGCTGCTGCCAGTGTGAGAGCATGTGCAGGAATGCTGCTGCCCTGCTCTCACCAGTGCCCCTCCCCAGCCAATGTGCATGCACCCCACTGTGCTGCTGCAGCTGCTGACATGCATGAGTGAGCATAAATCCCACTGCCATTGCCCCAATGAAACACTTTGGCTGACACCCCCCATTGGAGTGTTGGGGGTCAGTGGACCAGAAACACCTTGGCCCCTCTAGTCCGGCAAATTCCTAAATCAAGGGGCCAGAGAAGAAAGCTGGGAGCCCAAAACCAGTGCCCCAGAGTTAGAGCAGTTAGCCCAGGAGTGCTGAGCTAAGCCTTAGCCCCCCTAAAATGATCCAGAAACAAAATCAGTCAAATGAACCCACCTTACATCACAATCAAACCCCAAAGGGCATCACATATACAAGCAAAAAAACCCATCCAAAGGAAATAACTTCAAAGATTAAAGGAACATCAGCCCCACACATAAGGGAAAGAATCAGCGTAAAAACTATGGTAATTCAAAAAGCCAGAGTGTCTTCCTACCTCCAAATGACTGCACTAGTTCCCCAGCAATATTCTTAACCAAGCTGAAATGGCTGAAATGACAGACACAGAATTCAGAATAGGAATAGGAATGAGGATTATCGAGATTCAAGAGAAAGTTGAAACCCAACCCAAGGAATTTAAGGAATACAATAAAATAATACAGGAACCAAAAGATGAAATGGCCGTTTTAAGAAGGAACCCAAATTGATCTGATGTAGCTAAAAAATTTATTTCAATAATTTCTAAATACAATCACAATTATTACTATTATTATTATTATTATTATTATTGAGACAGAGCTCTGCTACCCAGGCTGGAGTGCAGTCAGGGGATCCCGGCTCACTGCAACCTCTGCTTCCTGGGTTCAAGTGATTCCCCTGCCTCAGCCTCCTGAGTAGCTGGGACTACAGGCACAGTACACCACACCTGGCTAATTTTTGTATTTTTAGTAGAGATGAGCCTTCACAAACTCCTGACCTCAGGTGGTCCACCTGCCTTGGCCTCCCAAAGTGCTGGGATTACAGGAGTGATGGGTCTGGCATGGTGGCTCACACTTTTGATCCCAGGACTTTGGACGGCCGAGCGCGGAGGATCGCTTGAGCACAGAAGATTGCTTGAGCCTAGGAGTTCCAGACCAGCCTGGGCAACATGGTGAAACCCGGTCTCTTTTTAATTTTTTTGAGACTGGGAGTTTCGCTCTTGTTGCCCAGGCTGGAGCGCAGTGGCATGGTTTTTGCTGGCTGTGGCCTCCGCCTCCCAATTTTGGGTGGTTTTCCCTCAGCCTCCGGAGTGGCAGGGATTGCAGGCATGAGCCACCATGCCCGGCTCATTTGTTTTTTATTTTTTTATATTTTTAATTTTTATTTTTTGGTACAGACGGGTTTCTCCCTGTTGGTTAGGCTGGTCTCAAACTCCTGACCTCAGGTTATCTGCCTGCCTCGGCCTCCCGGGTTGCAGGCGTGAGCCACCGGGGTGCTGGGATTGCAGGGTTGATCCACCACGCCTGGCCCACTTTATTAATCGGAAAGGAATAGATCGGCCTGGCACGGTGGCTCACGCTTGTGATCCCAGGACTTCGGACGGCCGAGGGCGCGCGGATCTCATGAGCCTAGGTGTTCCAGACTGGCCTGGGCAACATGGTGAAACCCGGTCTTTTTTTTTTCGAGGTGGAGTTTCGCTCTTGTTGCCCGGCTTGGAGTGCAGTGGCCCGGTCTCAGCTCCCAGCGGCCTCCGCCTCTGGGTTTGGGTGGTTCTCCAGTCTCAGCCTCTGGAGTGGCTGGGATTGCACGCGTGAGCCACAATGCCCGGCTCATTTTGTAGTTTTTTTGTATTTTTTGTTTTTGTTCTTTGTTGTTACAGACGAGGTTTCTCCATGTTTGTCAGGCTGGTCTCAGACTCCCGACCTCAGGTTACCCGCCAGCCTTGGTCTCCCGGGGTGCTGGGATTGCAGGTGTGAGCCACCGCTCCCGGCCCAATTTATTAATCAGAAAGGAATAGATCGGCCTGGCGTAGTGGCTCACGCTTGTGATCCCAAGAATTTGGACGGCCGAGCGCGGCGGATCGTTTGAGCCAGGAGTTCCAGATCCGCCTGGGCAACATGGTGAAACCCGGTCCCTTTTTTTTTTTTTTTTTTGAGGTGGAGATTCGCTCTTGTTGCCCAGGCTGGAGTGCAGTGGCGAGGTCTCGGCTTGTCGGGCCTCCGCCTCCTGGGTTTGGGTGGTTCTCCTGCCACAGCCTCCCGAGTTCCAGACTGGCCTGGGCAACGCGGTGAAACCTGGTCTCTCTTTTTTTTTTTTTTTTTTTTTGAGACAGCGTCTTGCTCTCTTGCCCAGGCTGGAATGCAGTGGCACGATCTCAGCTCACTGCAAGCTCCGCCTCCCGGGTTCACGCCATTCTCCTGCCTCAGCCTCCCGAGAAGCTGGGACTACAGGCGCCCGCCACTACGCCTAATTTTTTTGTATTTTTTTTAGTAGAGTCGGGGTTTCACCGTGTTAGCCAGCATGGTCTCGATCTCCTGACCTCGTGATCCGCCAGCCTCAGCCTCTCAAAATGCTGGGATTACAGGCGTGAGCCACCGCGCCCGGCTTGTTTTCTTTTGTTTGTTTGTTTTGAGACGGAGATTCACTCTTGTTGCCCAGGGTGGAGTGCAGTGGCGCAGTCTCGGCTCGCCGGGCCTCCGCCTCCCAGGTTTGGTTGGTTCTCCTGCCACAGCCTCCCGAGTGGCTGGGATTGCACACTTGAGCCATCATGCCCGGGTCATTTTTTTTTTTTTTTTTTTTTGGTGGAGATGGGGTTTCTCCATGTTCCTCAGGCTGGTCTCAAACTCCCGACCTCAGGTTATCTGCCCGCCTCGGCCTCCCGAGTGGCTGGGATTGCAGGCGTGAGCCATCGTGCCCGGCTAATTCCCTAACTGTGCAATTGCAAGGTCACTAAACAAACTCAACAAAACGTATTTTTCCTTAAATAGTAAAAAATAATATAATGCATATTTCAATTAATTATCTTTGTTTCTCGCTTCTGTATTATGCTTCCCCCTGCACAGATCTACCCCCGCCCCACAAAATGCTTAAAAGATAGCCCTTGGTTCCAGAACTCAATGCTTTAAATGTTAAGCTGACTGGGCCAGTGCACCTAAATAATATCCTCCTAAACCCCATCAGTCTCTCTAATTCCTTAAAAATCCCGCTACAGGATTGCAAGCCTGAGACACCGCGCCCGGCCCAATTTATTTATCAGAAAGGAATAGATAGGCCTGGCGTGGTGGCTCACGCTTGTGATCCCAGGACATTCAACGGCCAAGCCCGGCAGATCCCATGAGCCTAGGAGTTCCAGACCGGCCTGGACAACATGGTGAAACCTGGTCTATTTATTATTATTATTATTAATTTTTTTCTTTTTTGAGGCGGAATTTCGTTCTTCTAGCCCAGCTGGAGAGCAGTGGCGTGGTCTTGGCTCCCCGTGGCCTCCGCCTCCGGGTTTGGGTGGTTCTCCAGCCTCAGCCTCCCTAGTGGCTGGGATTGCAGGCGTGAGCCACAATGCCCAGCTCATTTTTTTTTTTTTCTTTTTGGTACAGATGGGGTTTCTCCATGTTGGTTAGGCTGGTCTCAAACTGCCGACCTCAGGTTAACTGCCCGCCTCAGCCTCCAGGGATGCTGAGATTGCAGGCGTGAGCCACCGCGCCTGGCCCAATTTATTAATCAGAAAGGAATAGATCAGCCTGGCGTGGTGGCTCACGTTTGTGATCCTAGGACTTTGGATGGCCGAGCACGGCGGATCTCTTGAGCCTAGGAGTTCCAGACCCTCCTGGGCAACATGGTGAAACCTGGTCTTTTTTTTTTTGGGTGGGGGGCGGAGTTTCGCTCTTGTTGCCCAGGCTGGACGGCGGTGGCAAGGTCTCGGTTCGCTAGGCCTCTGCCTCCGGGTTTAGTTGGTTCTCCTGCCTCAGCCTCCAAGTGGCTGGGATTGCACGCATGAGCTACCATGCCCGGCTGATTTATTTATTTATTTATTTATTTTTTGGTACAGACGGGGGTTTCTCCCTGTTGGTCAGGCTGGTCTCAAACTCCCGACCTCAGGTTACCCGCCCTCCTCGGCCTCCGGGGGTGCTGCGATTGCAGGCATGAGCCAGGGCGCACGGCCCAATTTATTATTTTTATTATTTTTTTTCGAGACGGAGTCTCTGTCACCCAGGCTGGAGTGCAGTTGCGCTATCCCGGCTCACTGCAACCTCCACCTGCAAGGTTCAAGCGATTCTCCTGCCTCAGCCTTCTGAGTAGCTGGGATTACAGGCGCCCGCCACACACTCGGCTGATTTTTTTGTATTTTTGGTAGAGACGGGGTTTCATCATATTGGCCAGGCTGGTCTCGAACTCCTGAACTCAGCTGATCCACCCACCTCAGCCTCCCAAAGTGCTGGGATTACAGGCGTGATCGGCCTGGCTTGGTGGCTCACGCTTTTGATCTCAGGACTTGGGATGGCTGAGCGTGGCAGATCACTTGAGCCTAGGAGTTCAGACCGGCCTGGGCAACATGGTGAAACCAGGTCTCTTTTTTGCTTGTTTTTTTTGAGAGGGAGTTTCGCTCTTGTTGCCCAGGCTGGAGTGCAGTGGCGCAGTCTCGGCTCCCCGCGGCCTCCGCCTCCCGGGTTTGGGTGGTCCTCATGCCTCAGCCTCCCGAGTGGCCGGGATTCCAGGCATGAACCACCATACCCGGCTAATTTTTTTTTTTTTTTTTTGGTCCAGACGAGGTTTCTCCATATTGGTCAGGATGGTCTCAAACTCCCGACTTCACGTTACCCAACCGCCTCGGCCTCCCGGGGTGCTGGGATTGCAGGTTTGAGCCACCGCGCCCGGCCCAATTTATTAATCAGAAAGGAATAGATCGGCCCGGAGTGGTGGCTCACGCTTTTGATCCCAGGACTTTGGACGGCCGAGTGCGGCAGATCGCTTGAGCCTAGGAGTTCCAGACCTGCCTGGGCAATATGGTGGAACCTGATCTCTTTTTTTTTTCTTGAAGCGGAGTCTCGCTCCTTTGCCCAGGTTGGAGGGCAGTGGCGCGGTCTCGGCTCGCCTAGGCCTCCGCCTCCCAGGTTTGGGTGATTCTTCTGCCTCAGCCTCCTGAGTGGCTGGGATTGCGGGCGTCAGCCACCATGCCCGGTTAGTTTTTTATTTTTTATTTTTTTGGTAGAGATGCGGTTTCTCCATGTTGGTCGGGCTGGTCTCCAGCTCCTCACCTCGGGTGATCCGCCGGCCTCGGCCTCCCGGGCTGCTGGAATTGCAGTCGTGAGTCACTGCGCCTGGCCCGAAACCCGGTCTCTTAACGGAAAAACAAAACAAAAGCCACAAAGATTAGCCGGGCGTGGTGGGCCCCGCGGGTAGTCCCAGCTACTCCAAAGGCTGATGCAGGAGGATTGCTTGAGCCCGGGGGGTGTGGGGGGGTGTGGTGGGGGGTGGAGGTGGCAGTGAGCCATGATGGCCCTGCTGTAGTCCAGACTGGAGGACAGAGCGGGACTGTGTCTCAGGAAAAGGGAAAGGAAAAAAAAAAAAAGAAAGTATATAAAATTGTTAAATCAAGGAGCAGCTGGACAGTGTATTACTGAGAGAAGTAGAGGCAAAGGTTAGCGGACACCAGTGGTCACTTAGTGGAACTGCAGGTGCTCCCCGACAGGAGGCTGCTACTCTTCCCAAAGAACTCTATTATTGACTTAAAAAAAAAAAGTTGTAGGTTTGTTACAATATACAAATAGCTAAACTTTATATAGCCTCAACCCTCTTCTAGCACTGCTCTAAGCCTTTTCCTGCTCTGAAATAGCTACTATTGTTACCTTCATTGTAGGTATGCCAGAGGTTGTTGTGGAAGGACCAGGGAAACTGACTATGAAATTGACTTGCAAGTTTCAGACTTAAAGGTTCTTCCTGCTCTGCTTCTTACATTGCCACATTTTAGTTAACATATCTCTTAAAATACTGGTCTTTTCTATATTTGGAGGGACTCCTCTTGCAATTTGAAGTTTTTTCTTGCACTAAGCATTTGGTCATAAGATCGTCTGTGTTTTATGTCAGTTTAAGTTTAGACATTGTTCAGTTAGGAATGTAAATATGAGCAAACAGGTATCTGATTGAAATAGATAACCTAGAAAAAATCACTTATGAAAAAGTCAAGAAAATGTGAACTCTGGATTTGCGGCTATTTTCAGAATGTATTAATTTTTTGGTATTTAATGGCATTGTGAATATATTTTTAAAAATTCTTTGTCTTCTACAGATACATATAAGGTAATTAAAAAATGATATGATGTATAGTTTTCACTTCAAAATAATTCAGAGGAAGAAGGAATGTATATAAATGAAGTGGGAATATAAATGAAACAAAACTGGCTGTGGCCAGGTGCGGTGGCTCACGCCTGTAATCTCAGCACTTTGGGAGGCCAAGGTAGGCGGATCACTTGAGGTCAGGAGTTCGAGACGAGCCTGGCCAACATGGTGAAGCCCTGTCTCTAATAAAAATATAAATAAATAAATGAATTAGCTGGGCGTGGCAGCAGGTGTCTGCAATCCTAGCTACTCGGGAGGCTGAGGCTGGAGAATTGGTTGAATCTGGTGGGGCGGGGGGGAAGTTGCAGTGAGCCAAGATAGCGCCACTGCACTTCAGCCTAGGCGGCAGAGCAAGGCTCCATCTCAAAAAAATTAAAATAGCCTTTTGGTGTGGTGGCAGGGGTTGTACTTGACAATAATTCTATGTGAGAAGGGCCATGATTAATCTGTAAGTGTTTAGAATGATTTAAGTATAAGTCAAGTTCATAGAGACCTTCCATTTACTCATAGGTCATTTTTGTTTTATTCAGTGATGCAACCATTATTTTACATGGTCAAAAAAGATATTGACCCCATATCATGTATTATAATAGATATGTTCTAGGTAGCAGAGATACAGCTATGAACAAGACAGTCAACATCTCTGCTGTCATGGAGTTAGCTTACAACTAATGTGGAAGTTAGAAACAAAAAAAGTTAATATGACATGCAATGCTAGGGAGAAGATTAGAGCAGGTTAAGGGAAGAAGAGGGGTGGAGGCCCTGGATGATAGGAGATAGAGTTGTCAGGAAAGACTTGGAGGAGGAGATAACAGAGCATGGCCTGAATAAAGTGAAGATGGAAGCCATGTGATGAGCTGGGGGAAAAGCATTCCAAGAGAGGGAACAGCAAGTCCAAAGGCACAGAGATGAGAAGAAACTGTTCACAGAATGAGAAATTAGTATGTGAGACTCAAACAGTAAGTTGGGGGAGAGTAGGAATAGATTAAGTCTGAGAAGTAAAGTGCGAGATCATCTAGGGTCTTGTAGACCATGGTAAAGATTTTGTGGCCTGGCACAGTGTCTTACGCCTGTAATCCCAGCACTTTGGGAGGCCGAGGCGGGTGGATCACGAGGTAAGGAGTTCAAGACCAGCCTGGCAAAGATGGCGAAACCCTGTCTCTACTAAAAATACAAAAAAAAATTAGCCAGGTGTGGTGGCACGCGCCTGTAATCCCATGTACTCCAAAGGCTGAGGCAGAGAATTGCTTAAACCTGGAGGGGCGGAGGTTGCAGTGAGCCGAGATCGCGCCACTGCACCCCAGCCTGGGCGACAGAGCAAGACTCTGTCTCAAAAAAAAAAAAAAATTCATCTCTAAGCTCCCCACCACTCTAAAGATGGGCCATATTGGCCGGGTGCGGTGGCTTATGCGTATAATCCCAGCACTTTGGGAGGCTGAGGCAGGCAGATCACTTGAGATCAGGAGTTTGGGACCTGCCTGGCCAACATGGTGAAACTCTGTCTCTACTAAAAATACAAAAATTAGCCGGGTGTTGTGGTGCACACCTGTAGTCCCAGCTACTTGGGAGGCTGAGGCAGGAGAATCTCTTGAATCTGGGAGGCGAAGGTTGCAGTGAACCAAGATCGTGCCACTGCATTCCAGCCTGAGTGACAGAGGGAGATTCTGTCTCAAAAACAAGAAACAAACAAAAGTCAAATGGATTAGAGAAATGAGAGGGGTAGATAATTCACTCACACAATAAGTAGTTATGGAAGGCCTACTATAATGTTACTATTTTATAACTTACAATTTATTGAGCACTTATATGCAGACATTCTGCTAAGTGTTGTACATTTGCAGTGATCTCACTTCTCACAACAATCCATTAAGGCTGGTACTGTTATTCTCCCCATTGTACACACAAGGAGACAGGCTCAGAGAGATCTAGTAACTTACCCAGGGACAAACAGCTGGTAAATAGCACAAAGGTCTATAAGGTTACAAAGCTCAGGATATCTGCTATGCTCTCCCACATGCCAGACACAATTGCATTTGTGTAATCATGACATTCCACTGCAGGAACTCCTCCTATTTGATCCCAGCCTGAAAACAGGGCACCTGAACTTAGTTGCCCACTGGGAGCAGCTGAGGTGGAGGAAGAGGGATCTGCAACTTTGCACTCCTGTGCAGTCTTGGTGGAGCTGTCCATCAAGGTGCCTGCCCTCCTTAGCTAAAGTGTGGACATGTTACCTGAGCTCAGCCAATTGAACCCTTGCTCCAGGGACTTTGACTCATCAAAGAAAGCTCTGGTCAAGAAAGGGAAAAAAAACATGGAATTGATTCACTTGCCTGCCTAAACTCTCAAAACATCTCCGCTTTCTAACCTTTTCTAAGCCTGATTCTCCAGCTTCGTGTTACCTCTGTGAGTTAGACACTAGCCTGCCAATAAAATCCTTTTCAGGTAAAGTTAGCCAGAATTGATTCTTAAGACTTGCAATCAAAGAACTTGCACTGGCAATATCAGCAAAAGAAATTACACAGTCTTGTAAAGCTTAAGTGAGTGACTCATTCCTTGGATAAATGTGTATTAAGCAGGGTCAGGACTAGAATGAAGCAAAGTGAGGCACCCAGGGTACAAAATTTAAGGCTTTCTTCCTCAGTGTTGTGTGAGTGCAGGGTTGGCTCTAACAGCCCTCCCTGCTATCAAAATTAGTAATAAAAAGAACGGAGAAGATCATTTCTTTTTCACATAAGAGTATGAAGTGAGTGTCCCAAGTCGGCAGGTAGCATTCGGCACCTTCTGTGCTGTGGCTCTGTCCCCTAGCACGTCATCATCATCATCACAAGGTCAAGGCTGGGCCAGCCAGTGAGAAGGAGAAAGAGTAACTCCTGCCAGAGCTTTAGCAATGTTAGCTATGGCTAAGCCTCAACCTCCCCAAGCCTCACTTTATTCACCTGTAAAATAGGACTAAGAAAAATCATCTTTAATTCCAAGATGTTTTGAGGATCAAATGAAACAACATGTAAAACTGCTTTGCAGACTGTGCAGTGCCCTATAAGCGGTAGTCACTATGTAGTCTCTTTGCTGAGTATCAGTTTATCTGCAAAGTGACAACTGAATACACACCTCCCAGGATTGTTGTAAGAATCTGCTAGACGAACGATTAAAGTATAAACTTTGGAATCCAACAGGAATAGGTTGGCGTTTTGCTCTGCCCCTCACCAGCTGTAAGATCTCGGACCCTCTGTGAGCCTGTGTCCTCATCTGCAGCGAAGGGATCAGGGTGCTCCTCCATCACAGGGCTGCTGTGAGCATGAAGAGAGACAGCAGGAGTGAGTCCTTGGCGCGGTGCCCAGCCTTGTTCCGATCCGCAGGTGCAGTGACGAATGCCACCTCCGGGATCCCTTCCAAAAAGCACAGCCGGGTTGTACCCTTCTGCCTCTGCTCAGCGCCCACGGTCAGCCCCACTCGGTGTGAGCAGAGCGGCTGCTCACAGCCTCTGACACGAAAGTCACTCCCACTCAGTTCCCCAAACCACAGCTATCCCCACTGTTGAGTGTGCGGTAAGTGCCCGCTGGGCACAGGGCGGAGTGCCACCAGACGACCGCTTAGAGCTCACAACCTATGATTTAACGCAGGGAACCAAAGCCTTTTCCTTCATTCTAAGACTGCATACCAAAAAGAAAAAAAAAGTTTGGGGGAAAAATAAAGCTGCCTCTTGCATTTGGAAGGAAATCACGTTCCTTCAGACCCCGTGCTGGCGGGGTCCTTACTAATAGAAGGAGATCATCTTTCACTTCCTTCCTTGAGATGGATTTTCCAACCCTGCTGTCAGACTCCAGCTCCGTGAAGCAGCAGTCACTGTACGGGTGATTGATAAAGCTCCATGGGGTCTTCTGTAACAGTGCTGATTTTATAAGCACACCTTCTAGAAGCCACTTAGAGACTGCTCTATTGGAGACACTAATGTTCCTATTTTTCTATACTTTTCCCAGCTCTATATTTGAGAAACTGGCCTTTTATTCTTAATGACTTACAGTAAAATTGTCTTCAGGTCAGTGTGTGCCTCTCCTGTTTTGTAGCATTTTGATTTTCCAAATCATCCTTATATCTGTAATGCTTAAAGAGGGGTGGAAGGGAGAAGGGTGGAGAGTTGTTTAATCTGGAAGGGGCCCTCTGGGCCTTGATGTGGAACTAGAGCTCCTTTATTCTGGTGGTTTGCGGTTGAGCTACAGTACTGCTGAGTGGTGGAGCAAGAGGCCATTTATAACCCTGAGAATTTTGCAATGTTATTGAATTCCTTCTACCTAATTTCCACTTCCTTTCTGGAATGAAAATGAAGAGAGTAAGCAAACATGTGCTGGGAGGGTTCCCTACAAGGATATATTTTATCCTGGGAATCTTATCTGGAGAATAGAATTACTTCTAGTCTCCTATCTCCTGATGTTTCTATTCCATAGGGAGAAAAGCAGAGAGATGTTTTCCTCTTTAACTAGAGTTAGGTGTGCTAACCCTGATTTTTCAGTAAGAATTATTCTAATGTTTGATATGAAAACAACAGTTCTTTAATTTAATTTTTATTTTTTAATAGAGACAGGATCTTGCTCTGTCACCCAGGCTAGAGTTCAGTGACATGATCATAGTTCACTGCTGCCTCGAACTTCTGGGCTGAAGCGACTCTCCTGCCTCAGCCTCCTAAGTAGCTAGGGACTACAGGAACATGCCACCATGCCCAGCTAATGTTTTATTTTTTTTGTAGAAACAGGTCTCTAACTCCTGGCCTGAAGTGATCCTCCTGCCTTCACCTCCCAAAGCATTGGGATTACAGGTGTGAGCCACTGCGCCCAGCCAAAACAAACTGTTAAACAATGAAAATACTTTGTAGTGAAAGGGTATTGGGACACAGAGGGAACACCAGACAACCTGCGCAATTCATGCCCATCCCTGTCCATTTGGAGCCAGCTTGGTTCCAGCTTGGAAGAAGTCAGAGTCATCGGGTTTAAGCAGACACAGGTGCTTACTGAGCCTTCGCTGGACACCAAGTGTTGTGCTAGGTTGACACTGCAGAGTTATACCTGTCCTGGAGGAGGAGCTAGTGGAGATATGTAAATATGTAACTATAATAGAGTATGACAAGATCACACTCGCTAATGGAAGTATGAACAGGATGCTGTGAGAACACAGAGGCCCCTGTCCTATTTAGTTTTGCCAGGAAAAGTTAGAGAAAGCTAAGACTAGTACAGGGAAGAGGTAGCATCTGATCTGAACTAGGCTTTGATGCTTGAATAGGAGCTGTTCTGACAGTCAGTAGGAGGAAGAGAATATGCAAAGGTACAGAAGAATTGAAAGAACACGGCCTTATAGAAATAGCAGGTAGTCCAGGGAAGAGTCTGGCTAGATTGTAAAGGACCAAATAGCACACAAGGGACCGTGGCCCACCTGTAGACAGTGGAGTGCTATCTTTTGATACAATGGTGAGTTCTTGTGAAAGTTTCTTAGCCTCAGTGTGCTTTGGTTTCGGATACACAAACCAGAAATTGCCACAAAGCACCTGCTGCGGGTCAAGTGCAGAGCCACCTGCTTTCTCATGGCTTTCCAGCAATACCAGATAACCTGGGATCAAATTCTGGCTGTGCCACTTCCTAGCTGTGTGACACTGAGCCTGCTACTTAACTCTTCTGTGCCTCTATTTTCTTGTCTCTAAAGTGGGGATAATAACATACCACACAGCGTTGCTGTGCAGATTAAATTAATTAGTATATATAGAGCCTTTAAAATAGTGCCCTAGCATTATGTAATTGTTAGCTAATGTCATCATGTAAGGAAGTATTATGTAGAGGGATCAGTCCTAAGACCTTGGCTTCAGACCCAGTTCTGAAGTGTTGGGTTGACTTACTGTTCTTTTCCCTCCCTTCTTTTTTTTTCTTCCTTCATTTGGGAGGGAGGTGTAGAAAGAGGTACATGGAGAACAAGTTTGTCGATCCATCTGAACTTCAGTTGCCTTACCTGTAAGATAGGAATGTTTTTCAGAGTTCTTATGAGCATCAACTAAAATAATGCTATAGAAGTGAGCAATCAACTATAAAGAGGCTACCTGGGCTGGGCATAGTGGCTCACGCCTATAATCCCAGCACTTTGGGAGGCTGAGGCAGGTGGATCACCTGAGGTCAGGAGTTCAAGAGCAGCCTGGCCAACATGGTGAAACCCCGTCTCTATTAAAAATACAAAAATTAGCTGGGTGTGGTGGCGAGCACTTGTAATCCCAGCTACTCGGGAGGCTGAGGCAGGAGAATCGCTTGAACCCAGGAGGTGGAGGTTGCAGTGAGTGGAGATCGCGCCATTGCACTCCAGCCTGGGAGACAGCGAGACTCCATCTCAAAAAAAAAAAAAAAAAAAGGCTGGGCGCGGTGGCTCACGCCTGTAATCCCAGCACTTTGGGAGGCCAAGGCAGGCTGATCACGAGGTCAGCAGATCGAGACCATCCTGGCGAACACAGTGAAACCCCATCTCTACTAAAAATACACACACACACACACACACACACACACACACACACACACTACACACACTAGCCGGGCGTGGTGGCGGGTGCCTGTAGTCCCAGCTACTCAGGAGGCTGAGGCAGGAGAATGGCGAGAACCCGGGGGGCGGAGCTTGCAGTGAGCAGAGATCGCGCCACTGCACTCCAGCCTGGGAGACAGCGAGACTCCGTCTCAAAAAAATAAATAAATAAAAATAAAATAAAAATAAAGACGCTACCTGTACGTTACTATTAGATATACGATTACTACGAAGTTACTGTATAACTGATCTGTTGCAAACAAATCAGACTTACCTAGTGGATAAGAGCAAACCTGTGGATTTTGCTGTCATTAATTCAGCCATTGTTAATTAAGTGCTTACCCAGAACCATCATCTTATGCCAGTGATGCTGCTGTCTGCTCAGACCTCCATTTTAGAGTTCCTGCAGAACTTGGGGGCAGTTTTGGTCTTAGGCTTATTAGTTGCAATGAGTAGATACATAGACTAGCTTAATTTATAGGAGTTTTATTGGCAGGATACAGTGGACTTTCAGGTACCCCAAGCATAGGAAGTGTAGCCACGTAATCGGGAAAGTTACCAGGTAATGGCTTTTCTCATCTTTCTGATTTCTGGCCTCAGCTCATTTATATATTTCTGGATTCCTCTTGCAGAATCACTTCCTCTGAAAGGCTCTTGGTTTTTTATTCTCCGTATTTTTGGCTTATGCGAATCTTTGGCTTGCCATGGTAACTGCTCTGAAGCTTACTATGATCTTACTTCTCCAGGGCCCGTTATCACCCAGTTCCCTTAGTCTGTGTCTTTTGTTTGTTTGTATGTATGTATGTATGTATTTATGATGGAGTGTCACTCTGTCGCCCAGGCTGGAGTGTAATGGTGCAATCTAGGCTCACTGCAACCTCTGCCTCCCAGGTTCAAGCGATCCTCCCTGCCTCAGCCTCCTGAGTAGTTGGGATTACAGGCGCCTGCCATCACGCCCAGCTAATTTTTGTATTTGTAGTACAGACGGGGTTTCGCCATGTTGGCCAGGCTGGTCTTGAACTCCTGACCTCAGGTGATCCACCTGCCTCAGCCTCCCAAAGTGCTGGGATTACAGGCGTGAGTCACCACGCCTGGCCAATCTGTGTATTTTAAATTCAAGAGAAAGAATTGGAATAATTCAGCTAAAGTTGGGTATTCACTTTGGTCCCATCAGCTATGGCAGGGTTGTGGAGAGTGTCATTCAGTTCAGATAGGCTGCCTGGGCTTTGTGGGAAGGACAGAGTCACTGAGAATGGGGGCTTATTAATATCTTTCAAATAGTTCAGTAGTTGCAAATCTCCATGCTTTAAAATGTATATGAACTTTTGAACAGCTGAGAATCATTCAGTGCTAACTTTAATAAACAGAGCATCAACCTAGGATATGTCATATGGGGTCAAGAGAAAATAATAGGTATAACATAATGAGCTTTGGCTTAATTATCTCCAAAGATGGTTTTCAGAAAGGAGTTAAAAATAATGTGGTTTGTTTCTTAGCAGCACCATCGAAATTAAGGAAGGGTGTAACTTCATTTGGTGAGGACTTTAAAATGGGCATCCTCACTTGGATTTTTAAAATTCCACTTAAGAATCATGGACTTTTAGACTTAGAAGTCACCTGAGACATGCTTTAGTTCTACACTCACGTCTTTCTTTCTTTCTTTTTTTTTTTTCGAGACGGAGTCTTGCTCTTTCGCCCAGGCCGGACTGCCGTGGTGCGATCTCTATCTCGGCTCACTGCAAGCTCCGCCTCCCGGGTTCACGCCATTCTCCTGCCTCAGCCTCCCGAGTAGCTGGGACTACAGGCGCCCGCCACTGTGTCTGGCTAATTTTTTGTATTTTTAGTAGAGACAGGGTTTCACCATGTTAGCCAGGATGGTCTCGATGTCCTGGCCTCATGATCCGCCTGCCTCGGCCTCCCAAAGTGCTGGGATTACAAGCATGAGCCACCGCACCTGGCCTACACTCACATCTTTCAATAGAAGAAAACTGAGATTTGGTTAAAGGGGCATGTATACATCGTGAAAGACCTAGGATTGGGTCCTGAGGCCTTTGGCTCTAAATACAGTCACTTTTTTCAGCAGGGACAATTATCCATCCCTCAATAGAAGAAAACTGAGATTTGGTTAAAGGGGCATGTATACATCGTGAAAGACCTAGGATTGGGTCCTGAGGCCTTTGGCTCTAAATCCAGTCACTTTTTTCAGCAGGGACAATTATCCATCCCTCAATAGAAGAAAACTGAGATTTGGTTAAAGGGGCATGTATACATCATGAAAGAGCTAGGATTGGGTCTTGAGGCCTTTGGCTCTAAATCCAGTCACTTTTTTCACCAGGGACAATTATCCTAGCCCAGTGCTCTTTCTGTTGTGCCTTTTGTACCTGCTTATTTTAAAAATAAGAAGAAGCCAAATTGAAAAACAAATGATCTAAAAAGTCATATTGTATAGTTCCGTTTATATGGAGTACAAAAACAGGCAAAACTCATGGATGATGATAAGAAGTCAGAAATTCCCCTTTAAAGGACTGAAAGGATTGACAGGAAGAGGAAGTATGAAGTAATTTTCTAGGGTGATGAAAATGTTCAGTGTCCCGTTTTGAGTGGCGGTTACAGGGAGATGCATGTGTTTATGTCTATTATGTATATGCATACAAACATATGTACACTTAAGCCCTCTGCATTTTATTGTATGTAAATTATATCTCAGTTTTTAAAATTGACCTCACAACCATGCAGTCCTAGTCTACTAATTGCAGCCGCTTTGCCGATAAGGATAAGGACGCATCTCTAGGCATCCAGAGATTGATGGCGCCACCCCTGGAACGAGAACTCCCTGCCCTGCTGTAACTGCAACAGAGCAGTCTCCCCAGAAATTATGCTGATAGGGCCAGTTTCTTTTCTGAGGTTTGTTGTGTGTCTAGGCATGTAAAAATTACTGTGAAAAATTCTGCCACAAGCCACAGAAGTTATGGAAGCTTTGGGGGCCATAAGGCCAACCCACTTCAATCCCTTTAGGCTGCGTTTAATTGCAGTGGACAGAAGTTGAAGCTGGCTCAGAGGAAAAGGGGAAAGCACTGGCTGAAGCCAGTCCGAGTTCTGTCCCCTATTATGACTTACTAGCTGGGTGACCTTGGGCACTTGACAAAACACTGAGCTTTAGTTGTGCCATCTTCAAATGCAGGTGATAATCCTCTTCTGCCTAATTCATGGTGCTGCTGGGAGGACACAATAAAGTAAGTGAAAGCACTTTGAAAACTAGTTCCTTTACATTGTCATGGTCTGGAAATGCTGGTTTTTTATGACAGTAGACTTCTGAAGCATCCCATCCTGACTAGGAAATGGTCATGAAAGCATCCCTCTTTCTGAGGCCGGGGGGCTTGTGGGGGACAGGACTTTTACTCCTTTTCATCAAAGAGGTTTATACTTATCAGGCTGTGAGAACTGGCATCTGTGTTTAGGCTGAAAAATTGATAGCATACGTGCATAATAGCCTCACAACAGCTATGCTTTGTATGCCAGGAGAGGCAGGTGGTCCCCATAAGCGAGACATGAATTGTGGGTGAATGGCTAAATCTGGAAGATGCAGAAAGGTCTTTTTCATTAAGAGAGAGCCCTCTCCTGGCCAGGAGCGGTGGCTCACGCCTGTAATCCCAGCACTTTGGGAGGCCGAGGCAGGCAGATCATGAGGTCAGGAGATCAAGACCATCCTGGCTAACACGGTGAAACCCCGTCTCAACTAAAAATACAAAAAAATTAGCCGGGCGTGGTGGCGGGTGCCTGTAGTCCCAGCTACTTGGGAGGCCGAGGCAGGAGAATGGCGTGAACCCGGGAGGCGGAGCTTGCAGTGAGCCAAGATCGCAGCCACTGCACTCCAGCCTGGGGCGACAGAGCGAGACTCCGTCTCAAAAAAAAAAAAAAAAAAAAAAGCCCTCTCCTGAACCTGTAGGCAAGGAGTGTAAATATACATCGAAATAATCCATCAGCCAAGTGACTTCCCTTCGTCAGACCTTGGAGAGAGAATGCTTTAGTTACTGCTTGGAATACCAGTAAGCTATCAGAGTTGCCTAGGATACCAGTCACTTGGGCCCATCTTCCAGACTTGCTCAAGATAATTTATTTTCCTTTATTTTGGAGAGAAGTGGGGGAGGTGGTCAGAGGTACTTGCAAAGCCTTGTCCTTATAAGACGGGCCCTTGTGTGAAGATATCTTTATCTCCCTCCACTTGAGTTGTCAGCTGCTATTGCCCTTGGCAATAGGGATGAAAATAGCATTTCCTGTCCCAGTTCTCTTCCCCATTTTCTGATGTCATCCCACACAGAGGTGGCTTTGCATAGTGTCCTTTGAGGGGAAAGCAGTGGCATTGATGAGTGCGAGGGAAGCAAGAGAGCATGTAGCTGTGCCCCGCTGATGCTGGGATCTTCCTAGGATGACTGCAGAACAGAAGGAGCCTGGCTCCTCCAGCTAACCACTCAACCAAGAAAAGCCTGGCTATTCTTATCTGTTTCGGAGCATATGCTTCTCTCCTAAAGGGGGCCAGCGCCTCCACACCTGTGGGTATTTCTTGTCAGGTGGGATGAGAGACTGAGAAAAGAAATAAGACACAGAGACAAAGTATAGAGAAAGAACAGTGGCCCAGGGGACCGGCGCTCAGCATACGGAGGACCCGCACCGGCACTGGTCTCTTGAGTTGCCTCAGTATTTGTTGAGCACTATCTCTACCATCTTGGAGAGGGGGATGTGGCAGGACTATAGGGTAATAGTGGGGAGAGGGTCAGCAGGAAAACATGTGAGCAAAGGTCTCTGGGTCATAAATAAGTTTAAGGAAAGGTGCTGTGCCTCGATGTGCATGTAGGCCAGATTTATGTTTGACTCTACACAAACATCTCAGTGTAGTAAAGAGCAGTATTGCCGCCAGCATGTCTCACCTCCAGCCACAAGGTGGTTTTCTCCTATCTTAGTAAATAGAATGTATGATCAGGTTTTACACCGAGACATTCCATTCCCAGGGACGAGCAGGAGACAGATGCCTTCCTCTTATCTCAACTGCAAAGAGGCCTTCCTCTTTCGCTAGTCCTCCTCAGCATAGACCCTTTATGGGTGTCGGGCTGGGGGATGGTCAGGTCTTTCCCTTCCCACAGGGCCATATCTCAGGCTGTCTCAGTGGGGAGAAACCTTGGACAATACCCAGGCTTTCTTGGGCAGAGGTCCCTGCATCCTTCTGCAGTGCATTGTGTCCCTGGGTACTCGAGATTAGAGAATGGTGATGACTTTTACCAAGCATACTGCCTTCAAACACATTTTTAACAAAGCACATCCTGCACAGCCCTAAATCCATTAAACCTTGAGTCAACACAGCACATGTCTCTGTGGGCACAGTGTTGGGGCTAGGGTTACAGATTAACCGCATCTCAGGGCAGAATAATTTTTCTTAGTACAGAACAAAATGGAGTTTCTTATGTCTACTTCTTTCTACATAGACACAGTAACAGTCTGATCTCTCTTTCCCCCACACTCTCCTCCCAAGGTCTCAAGACAGGAATTTGCAGTAAATACGTTCTTCTACCACTGAGTCCTCTCGACTCTTAAACTGAAGTGCCACATTGGCACATGTTGCTGCTGGCTGATCTATGGATGATAGACAGTTTGTCCCATTTTTTCTTGCTGATTTAATGTCAAAAAACAAAACCCCAAGGAGAGGTTTTGGTATGATCTAGAAAAATTCAAACCAAGTAGTTTCATGTGTTACTTTATGCAGTGTCTGTCTGTAGACTCTTCAAAACATGTAACAAGAGTGAAAAATGAAGAGGTACTCTGACTTTTTCTGTCTTTCAGATTCTTTCTCCCCAGGCAGTCGTGTCTGTGTTCTTGTCTTGCAGAATTAGAGCCCACTGGTTGGGAAAAATGCCACCACCATCAGACATTGTCAAAGTGGCCATTGAGTGTCCAGATGCTAATGCCCAGCTCCTTGAAATCAACCAGGTACACTCCTGAAGTGAGGAAAGGCACCTGGGGAGTGCATGGCAGAGGATATCTTGAGGGATGGGGACTACTGGCATCAAGAGTAAGAACCATCAACAGGAAGGCTAAGCTTTGGGCCTGGCCCACCCTAGGGAAGGTCTGTCACCATGGCTTGGGAGAGGCTTCCTCTTTAACAAAAGCTGTTAGGAAAGAAGTACATTCTCATGCCCCGGCTTGACCCTGCTTGGCAGGCTCTCTTGTCTGAACCTTGGCTTGGGTAGGATGTTGCTGCTATTGAAGGCTCTTTCTCTCTTTTTCAGAAATGGCCCCTGGCATCCATTATCAAGGAAGTTTGTGATGGGTAGGTTGAAATGGACCTCGTTTTTGACAGTGGCAGCTCTGACTGAAGGAGCACTGCCACACCTTGAGGGGAGTTCTGGGAAGGATCTCCAGTTAGGCAGGTCCCCAGAAAGGGGCTCTTGGGAATCATTGTCTTGGGAAGGAGGTACAGTTGACAACAATACCCCTAAGACGTTTATACTTCTTAATTTTTTCCTGTAAGTCTAGCATTGCCCTGCTTGAGGTCATGGTAGGATCTGAGACCCCTCCTCAGTTCCGCACACCTCCTTTTGTGGTGCTTGTCTTTACAAAAGGCTGAGGCTGTGATTTTTTCAACATGACAACCTAAAGCTTTGTTTTTTTCCACTGTATTCCAAATAGGCCACCTGATCCCTTGAGCAACTCTACTGAAAATGACTTATGAGAAGCTTCTGGACAAGAGAGTGGCCAAGTGGGATATACTGTTTTTCTCTTGCGTAGGTGGTCGTTGCCAAACCCAGAGTATTACACCCTCCGTCATGCAGATGATCCTCAGCTGTACATCACTGAACAGGTTAATATAGGGAAAGGCAAAATCAATGTGGGCCTTGCTTGGAAGTAAATGACCCAAGGAGACAGCACTATTTATCTTCACTCAGCATCCAGGTAGCTTCCATGTGTTGGGTAAAGAGTCGCTCCCTGGGCAGACTGGGAAGTACCAGCCCTTGTTCCTCCCTAGTGGCTGGAAAAAGGTGGCTTTTACTTCCTGAGGGCCCAGGGTGCTAGAAGAGGATCTTAGAAGCTCTTTGCCAAGGAATAAGCAGGAGAAGAGGGCCCGACTGAAGAGCCTGTTACATCTACTGTAAAAAAGACAAAACATTATGTTGATTCAACTTGCTTGTACCACTTTAACATTTTATCTTAGTTACCTTTGTTGTTTCTTTGCTTTTCACTACCCAGACTCGCAGTGACGTTAAGAATGGGACAATCGGGCCAGGCGTGGTGGCCCACGCCTGTAATCCTGCACTTTGGGAGGCCGAGGCAGGCGGATCATGAGGTCAGGAGATCAAGACCATCCTGGCTAACACAGTGAAACCCCGTCTCTACTAAAAATACAAAAAAAAAAAAAATTAGCTGGACGTGGTGGCGGGTGCCTGTAGTCCCAGCTACTCGGGAGGCTGAGGCAGGAGAATGGCGTGAACCCGGGAGGTGGAGCTTGCAGTGAGCCGAGATCATGCCACTGCACTCCAGCCTGGGCAACAAAGCGAGACTCCGTCTCAGAAAAAAAAAAAAAAATGAGACAATCTTACAACTGGCTATCTCCCCAGTAGGTATTCTTCCTTCCTTAGGAGTTTATTCATGTCACAAACAAATAAGAGCACCTACCATGGGCCAGGCTCTGTTCTAGAAACAAGGACTCTGGAGATTAAAAAGTCAGTCCTTTTGTATCAGGACATAATATAGGAAGATAAGAGTGTCTTGGTTCTCACCACCTAGTGGGGAGTAAACACATGCAATTGAAGGCCTGTCTCAAGGATCTTGAGAGAAAGTTGCTTAGAGAGCTGTGAGAACTCACAAAGGGGACCACCTAACTCAGCCTGGAGATTTCCAGAAAGCCTTGCCAGAGAAAGGGTCACTTAGCTCAGATGTTAAAGGATGAGCAAGAATTAGCTGGAGAAATAAGAAAAGGAAAAGTATTCTAGTCAGAGAAATCAGCATATGCCAAGGCACAGAGGTTTGCTGTGTTTGGGAAAAGCAGAAGTGCTGGGTGGCTGGAGGCTTGTAGCAATCATTGAAAAGCCAGGTATTCAATGTTCCTTGATGGCCTGCTCATAGGTTTGAACTCTGTCCAGAAGGAAACTAGGGATATTGAAGGATTTTAAGCAGGAAGATATGTTATGTTTAGATTTTAAGTTTTAGAAAGATGACTTTAGTGACCGTGTGGAAGATGGGCCTTAAGAAGTAGGTTGGTGGTAGTAGGAACCTTTTAAGAGGCAAATGAGGAATGTTAACAGCCCAGGGAAGGCAAATGGTAATGGAGATGAAAGGATATGAAGAGTATCTAGGAGGTAACCTTTATGAGTATGGTGATACGCTGGATGTGGAAGGAAAGGGGAGAATGGAGAATGACTCTGGTTTTTGCAAGAGCAGCCCTTAAAGGTCACCAAGGAAGCAACCAGAAGGGTAGAAAGAACACCAAGAATGTGAAGTGACAGGAGCTTTGGGCAGGGAGAGTGTCAGGATTGGGGAAAACATGGTCTGCAATTTTTAATGAGCAGAGAAATTTAGCAAACTGAGAACAGAGAAGCTGTCTCAAGACTTGGGAGGTGAAGAGGACCTTGGTGATCTTCACAAAAAAGTTATGGTGGGGAGGCCAGGTGGCCAGACTGAACTGAGTCAAGTAAAAGAAAGGTAAAAAAGTAAGGACTTTGAGTCTACTGCTGTATCAAGAAGCTTGGTTTTAAAAGAAAACACAGAGAAGGTGATAACGTGAAGAGGATGTAGAGTCAAAAAGATGCGCTTTTTAAAAGCCCGTAAAGCATTCATGTGTTTCACAAATCAAAAATTTTCACAGAGATGTAGCAAAAGGTCTCCCTGCAACTCCTGTCCCCATCTGCCCAGTTCCCCACATTTCTGACCCTTCCTGGTTGTTGTTTCTGTTGCAATTTTTTATGTGCCCTTAAGAATGTGTTAAGATGGAAGAGAGGAAGGTTGAAGGTGCAGGAAAGCAGGTAATCAATAGAACAGGATCTTAGTGGACCAGGAGAGGAAGGACTCAAAGCCCAGGTAGAGGGAATCACCTTGACTGCTAAGCCCATGAGGAAGACAGCCAATATGATTGCACCTTTGGTTACATTCGTAGAAGCGCAGCTAGCAAAATAAGGGCGTGATGGCACCTCTTTTCTTGGTGCAGAGAGAGAGACTGGTTCATCTGAGAGGAGGGGAGGTATGAAGTGATATCAGCCAACCTTTACTGAATGCCTGTATTTTGCTAAATACTTTGTGTAATTAAATCATCTAATCTTTACAAACGTCCCATGAGATAGGTACTCTTAATAGCCACATTCTGTAGACAAGGAAACCAAGGCTTAGAGAGGTTAAATTACTTGCCACTTGTCACACAGCTAATAAAGTAGCCAAGCCTGCTCTCAGACCCAGGTCTGCCTGACTCTAGGCCCATATTCCTCCCATCATGTTCTTCTGCCTCCCCCTCTTCTCCTGAACTCTTCTCATTTTAAGGACTTCATTCTTCCCTCCTAAGCTCTGGTAATTTAATATGACAGCCTGGGAGTTACACACTTTTATGGAAGTGCTGACACATTTCCGACCTCTTGCACAGTGCAGTTGCCTTTCCCAGAAGCACATCTCTCTGGAGCGGGAGGCAGCAGCCCAGAAATGCTGTATCAGGAGGAAAATTGACAGAGTTGGAAGTTTCTAAGTGGGATGCAGACCAGTGCTCTTCAGATTGTTCTGTGCTGTGACCTTTTCCTGTGGCGCACGTTTTGTCCACTGTAGACAGAGTGAGGGCTTCTCTATCACAGAGAGCATTGTGCTGTGAAGGGCCAGCTTTGTAATAGTAAAAGAGGAGAGGCAAAGGGGAGAGGGACAACAGGCCTGACTCCGTGGTGGCCGCAGGAATTGGGCTCCAGTCACTTGCTTAACACTGAGAAAAAGAAGACAGGAGTGTTTTTGCTCTTAAGGCTCTTCCTTTCTAGTGGAGAACATTAAATTAACACCCAAAAAACAGAGTATGATGAAACAGTAAATTGTGAGGTACTATGTACTAACAAGCTCAGCAGAAGGAAAGCCCAGTGAATGCTAGAGGAGGGATTTTAGCCACAGTTTGCAGAAAAGGAGGCAGGCATCCTGCTAGAAAAAGTTCATGTGCTAGGAGGAGGTTTTGTCTTCATCAGCCTTCATTTTCAAAAAATGATTGGGAAATTGTTTCTGGCTCCTTGATATTCTTAAAATTTCTCCAGAACTGTTACTTTGAGGAATAATCATATGGATTTTGAGAGAAAGTTTTTAAAAAATTATCAAGCTTTTCACATTTTAGGATTAAAAGGGAGCTTAGAGAACATTAGATTAAATTCTTCACCCAATGCAAGAATCCCTTCTACAGCATCTTTGACAGATAGTTGTCCACATTCTCCTTGATTGCTTCTGGTGACAGGGAGCTTAATACCCCAAGAGAAACCTCTTCTGCTGTCTAACAGTTTTATAAATTTTATTTTATTTTATTTATTTTTTTTGAGATGGAGTCTTGCTCTGTCGCCCAGGCTGGAGTGCAGTGGCATGATCTCGGCTCACTGCAACCTCCGCCTCCTGGGTTCAAGTGATTCTCCTGCCTTAGCCTCCTGAGTAGCTGGGATTACAGGTGCATGCCACCATGCCCGGCTAATTTTTGCATTTTTAGTAGAGACGGGATTTCACCATGTTGGTCAGGTTGGTCTCGAACTCCCGACCTTGTGATCTGCCTGCCTCAGCCTCCCAAAGTGCTGGGATTACGGGCGTGAGCCACTGCGCCCGGCCAGTTTTATTTAATTTATTTTTTTTATTTTTGAGAGACAGTCTTGCTCTATGACCCAGGCTGCAACGCAGTGGCACAGTCCTAGCTTACTGCAACCTTGAACTCCTGGGCTCAAGCAATCTTCCCACCTCAGCCTCCTGAGTAGCTAGGACTACAGGTGTGCACCACCACACCTGGCTCATTTTTAAAAATTTTTTGTGGAGACGGGGTGTCACTCTGTTGCCCAAGCTGGTGTCTAACTTCTGGTCTCAAGCAATCCTCCTGCCTTGGCCTTTCAAAGCCTTGGGATTATAGGCATGAGCCACTGCACCCAGCCAGACAGCTTTAATTAATAGACAACCTTCCTCTATTAAACCAATATCTGTTTCTCTGTGACTCATTAGTGGGCCTCCCAGATGTCTCTGGTATTCCCTTGGTAGGAATTTTTTTAATCCATAGACCAGAGTGGTACAGAAAAGATACAGATAAATACAGATTTGTTTTGGTATGCTAATAACTCCCTGATTGATCCCACAATTTAGCAACTCCTAAGCAGTGTTAAAAAAGCTAGTTCTGCCTCAGGTTTGGATGTCCACAAAAGAGCCTCTGTGAGCTATCCACAGAGTAGTAACCTGCTCCAAGGAGCAGATGGCACATGTCTTGTCCCTGGTTTCCTAGTCCCAGGCTGCACGCCCAGCTGATGGAGAGGACCCAGTCATCCAACATGGAGACCCGGCTGGATACCATGAAGGTGCTGGCCAAGCTCTGCTGACGTGACTTTTGCTACTGAGTTCATCAACATGGATGGCATCATTGTGCTGACGAGGCTTGTGGAAAATGGAACCAAACTCCTGTCCCAGTGAGTATGACTAAGGTCTCATTCCAGAGACTTCAGTGATTTACTACATCCCACAGGGCATCCTAGTCTCATTTCCATCAAGTCACATAAGGAGTTTATTGAATACCACCTATGTACAGAGCAGTGTGCAAAGCACTAGAGTCCATACCGAGACATATAATTCCGTGTTGTTCTTCTAAATCTTGTAGTATAGTTGGGCTCTCACAAATTAAATAATAGTACAAAACAATACTGTGCCAAGTGAGCAGTGAAAATAGGGGCTAGAGAAGTCAGTAGGAGAGCGGTCAGGTTGTGACAGACCTGTTAATTGCTGGAAATGCTTGGTCTGATGAGGGTTACTGAGCACATGGTCCAATATGTCCCAGGTGTGTGTCCATCTGTAACCACCCCCTGCTCCCTCTCTCTCAAGTCACCTTCCACCACACACACAACACACACACACACACACACACACAGCTTCGTTTGTGTTTACCACAGGTTACAACCTACCAAGTCACCATCTCCCTGCCACACTTTTGCACAGGGAGGAGGAGACCAGAACTTTATGATACCCACAAACATTTTCATCATACCCCAGAGTTGACATGCATGAGGTGGGCAGCTGTGCCTTGTGAAGAGCAGTCAGTAAACAGGTGCTTGGAGCCTACGCTGCCAAAGAGGGAATCAGAAATCTTCTCAGCCCGTAGATGAACTATGGAAATTTTCAGCCAAATCAAGTAACTAATCATAGATATTTGTTTTACATCTTGGATCTTCCAGCTGTACTCAAGTCCTGAAGCCTTCAGCTGCCATCAGCACTGACACAGTTCTACAGTCTCCCGAGAGTGCAGGGTTAGACTG
Organism: Homo sapiens; assembly: GCF_000001405.40. Taxonomy (NCBI): domain Eukaryota; kingdom Metazoa; phylum Chordata; class Mammalia; order Primates; family Hominidae; genus Homo; species Homo sapiens. The sequence goes on from NT_187659.1 coordinate 59,188, forward strand.
GCCTTAGTTTCCCTCTCTTTAGCCTGAGGATAATAATAGCTACCTTGCAGTATTATTGTGAGAAGTATTGTTAATGAGACTGTGTCTGAACATGCTTTGTAAATGGGAATATCATCTGTTAATTCTAGAGCACTGTACAGATATATAAAGGAGAAGAGAGAAAAGAGAAAACATTTTAATCCTTATTCTCTATCAGCACTAGAATAAGTGCTTTGCATACATCATCATCTTGCCCTCTCCACAATCCTGTGAGGTTAACGCTGTGAGACTAACTTGATTTTACAGAGGAAGACATTGAGTTTTGAAAAGATAAAATTTGCTTGGTTAGTAAGGTGGACAAGAACTGAGCCCATCTCTTGCACTCTACTGCCTCTTGGCCCAAAGGTTAACATGGCACTTATGCCTCCTTAGGTTCCCCCAATAGGTGCTGGAGTTTGACAAGGGTCCGATGTCTTCTTTGGTCTTGAGAAATAGATAAGTGATTCTGTGTCCCTAGGATGAAGCACATAGAGAAGAAAGGTCTGATCAGCCAGCAGCATTTTTTTTGGCAGTGATAGATACCTGGGCTGAACCTGCTCTACTTGCTAGGTGTGCGCACAGGCACTTACAGTTACAGTTGCATCGACTGATTTCCCATGGGGTGTTCACATTAAAATTCATCATTTTTTTTTTTTTTTTTTTTTTTTTTTTTTTTTTAGACGGAGTCTGGCTCTGTCACCCAGGCTGGAGTGCAGTGGCCCAATCTCGGCTCACTGCCAGCTCTGCCTCCCAGGTTCATGCCATTCTCCTGCCTCAGCCTCCGGAGTAGCTGGGACTACAGGTGCCCGCCACCACACTTGGCTAAGTTTTTTGTATTTTTTAGTACAGACGGGGTTTCACCATGTTAGCCAGGATAGTCTCGATCTCCTGATCTCATCCACCCGCCTCAGCCTCCCAAAGTGCTGAGATTACAGGCATGAGCCACCACACCCAGCCTAAAATTCATCTTTTTTGTGGCTGCCCTCACACCTGTGTTTCCCAGTCTGCATCTTTGTCCATTTTGTGTGTGTCTCAGCTACAGTGATATGCTGGCATTCACCCTGACTGCCTTCCTAGAGCTCATGGACCATGGCATTGTCTCCTGGGACATGGTTTCAATCACCTTTATTAAGCAGGTGAGGCATCCAACATTCTGTCTTTCTCTCCTCCCTCAGCTGCCAGTTCACAGGGTTTAAGGGGAGATACAAGCAATATCGCTATTTTGGTGATATCAGCTTTATATTCCCTGGGGCCAGATTTTTCATCCTCAAGTTCTGGTCTTTTGTGGCTTCTGAAAGATGTGGATTTTGTTATACTCTCAGGGCCTGCACTGAGATGGAACTGGACCGTCAGAACTAAATATGATCAAAGTAGAGTTAGGTTGTCAGTGAGACTGGGGATAAAGCCAGCCAGTCAACCAGGACTATCCCTGAGTCTTTTGACTGACTTCCTGAGCTCTCTCTTCTCTTTGGATTAAAAAAAAATGTGCATTTCATTTGCAAATCTGCCTTCTATTTACAAATCTGCAAGGTAGCCTGTTTGTATTGTCAGACTAAGCTCAGTGGGTAGGAGAGGGTACTTCTGGTTTTACCTTCCTTTCTTTTATACAAAGGAGCAGTGTCAATTCAGAAAACTGAATTAAAACCATTGAATAATACTCTCTCTGCTGCCCTAGAACTTCACTTATCATTGGCTTAGGACATTGGGACTCCCCGACCCTGGACACAAGTGAAATGACCATGTGTCAGGTATATTATAATGGGGATTGAGAAGAAGGATTAGAGTAAAAGGCTTCAAGGTCCTTTCTACCTCTCAAAGTCTTAAGTGTGTTTAGGGAGAATGTGTGTCAGGGGAGGAATACATGGAGATAAAATGAGATCCCAGTATGAGTAAAATCCTCTGCTGTTTTTTTTTCTTTTGATGGAGCCTCACTCTGTCACCCAGGCTGGAGTGCAGTGGCGCGATCTCAGCTCACTGCAAGCTCTGCCTCCTGGGTTCACACCATTCTCCTGCCTCAGCCTCCCGAGTAGCTGGGACTACAGGCACCCGCCACCACACCCGGCTAATTTTTTGTATTTTTAGTAGAGATGGGGTTTCATAGTGCTAGCCAGGATGGTCTCGATCTCCTGACCTCATGATCGTCCGCCTCGGCCTCCCAAAGTGCTGGGATTACAGGTGTGAGCCACCGTGCCTGGCAATCTTCTGCTTTTTTATACCCCACTTTCTCATGCTGGAACTCTTATTTTGATAAAAAGAATTAAGCTTTTAGATTTTGAGGAAACACAATTAAGTGGATACTATAATCTGAAATTAAGGTATCCATGCCAAGGGAATCCCTGGCACATTGGCCAGGGTAGCCGTAAACCAGGTACCACTGTCCACCTAGCAATAGCTGCCCAAATGTGAAGCAGAGAGAGCTCCAAGGGCTAGCATCAGATGCTAAGCTTCTATCTTTCTTAGGCCCTGAGCTTCTCAATTGATGTGCCATCTCTGGGCCTAGATTGCAGGGTATGTGAGCGAGCCCACGGTGGATGTTTCAGTCCTTCAGAGGTCCCTGGCCATCCTGGAGAGCATAGTCCACACCAGAAGATACCAGAGTCTGTACCAGAAGATAGCTGAGGAAATCACCATGGGACAGCTCATCTCACACTTCCAGGTGTGAGTAAAAGACCCTACACCCCTACACCTCCCTCCCTTCACTTGTCTGTCCTCGTCTCTCCTCTTATTTGAAGTCTTCCAATCCTACTCTGCTTTGCTTATATTCCAAGCTGCTGGTTGGCTTCTTCATTCATCGCCTCTTCCACACTCCTGCCAGAATTTCTACCATCATTCAGACCTCATCATGTCATGCTCCTGCCTAAAATCCTCTGTAACTCTCTCTGCCCCTTAGGTTAAAATGAAGATTTTCCCAGTCTTCCCATACTGCCCTAGTACCAGGCAAAATTAGATGCTTCCTCCCCACATGAGCCCAGTAGTCTGTTTGTACCTATGATAATTATATAAAATACTGGATTTTTATTATCTGTTGCCCATTTTGAACATAGAGCCCCCTAGAAACAGAGATCAATCATTGTCATATCCCCTGTTTTATTAGTACTTGTTGAATGAATGCTTACTGAACTGATGATGCGCTGTGGGTGATTGTAAGAAGTATCACACAGGGCGTGAGTTTGGAATATCAATTCAAATCCAGGCTCTTCTGCATACTGGGTCTCTGCTATCAGCAAGTAACCTAGTCTCTTCTGGCCTCAGTTTCTTCATCTCTAGACTAGGTTAATCATCTTCACTTCTCACGTGAGGATCAAAGGAGATTTTAAAAAAGTCTAGCATAGTGGCCAGCACAGGTTAAGTATTCAGTAAATTCAGGGGCTTTTTGCTTTTGTTTGTTAAGACTCTCATCACATCCTAAAACATTTTACCAGTAATGAAACCATATGACAAATGAACCCATTGGAGTTATGTTTCTCCTGTCTTCATTGTTTTTACTTCCTGTCCAACCAACCTACACCAGGTAAGGAAGCTGGACTTTGCAGAACAGCGGTGGCACTACTGATGATTCTGTTCTGACTGTTGTTCACTTCTGTCTTTTTGGATATTGTCAGAATGTTGCCAGAATCCCCCCACCAGTTTGAGGGGAAGTCATAGCTCCCAGATTTGGGAGGTTATAGTGACCCTGTTTTCACTCAGCTATGTTCCCAACTTGTTTCTCCCCACTAATCCAAGTAAAAAGGAAGCACAATTATTTCTTTGCAACTCTGATTTCTCCTTGTCACTTTTAAGAAATTTTCAGCCTCAGCTTTCTTTGCCTTTCTTTTTTGAAACAATCTGTCACCCAGGCTGGAGTGCAGTGGCATGATCATAACTCACTGCAGGTTCAAGCAGTCCTCCTCATCTCAGCCTCCTGAGTAGCTGGAATCATAGGCACACTCCACCACACCTGGCTAGTTTTTTTTTTTGTTTTTTAATTATTTATTTATTTATTTTTTTGAGACAGAGTCTCGCTCTGTTGCCCAGGCTGGAGTGCAGTGGTGCCATCTCGGCTCACTGCAAGCTCCGCCTCCCAGGTTCATGCCATTTTCCTGCCTCAGCCTCCCAAGTAGCTGGGACTACAGGTGCCTGCCACCATGCCTGGCTAATTTTTTGTATTTTTAGTAGAGATGGGGTTTCACTGTGTTAGTCAGGATGGTCTCGATCTGACCTCGTGATCTGCCCGCCTCGGCCTCCCAAAGTGCTGGGATTACAGGCCTGAGCCACCACACCTGGCCAATTTTTTTTTTTATTTTTGTAGAGATAGGGTCTCGCTGTGTTGTCCAGGCTGGTCTCAAACTGTTGGGCTCAAGCAGTCCTCCCACTCCAGCCTCCTTAGTAGCTGGGACTACAGGTGTGAGCCACCATGCCTGGTCTAGCCTCAGCTTTCATACCCAGTGAGCCACCAAGGTTGATGAAGATGAGAGGGATATTATAAACTCCAGATAGAGAATTCTGATTTTCCCGTAACCTCACGTCTACCTCTGTTTTTTTGTCTCTGAATTCGGAGTGGCCCTAGTTGCCTCCCTAGGGTCGATACGGGAACATGGCATTTCACAGGGGCCAATCGTGAATACTTTCAGCCCACAGCTGTCGCCAGAACCTATATGCTTTCCTATTTGGGCTGAGGGACACTTCGTGCCCTCTGGTAGACTCTCTGGGTACCCTGTGACTAACCAGGAAGCCCATCAGCCCCTCTGGAAAGACAGCCACAGAATGCTCCCAAGACATGGCAGGTGGAGATGTCAAGTACTGAGATTGTAAGATTCCAGGGAATGATTGTAGTTATTTTGTTTGTTCATAATAAAATAAGTTTATAGTCAAGACTTTAAAAATACAGAAAAACCCAAAAATAAATTATTTGCCCATTATCTCACCTCCAGACATACCCACTGTTAAACATTAAATATCCCTTCAGTATTTTTTATGCATATTTTTAACAAAATTGGGATCTTATTATATATACTATGTGTACCTTGATTTTTTTTAACTGAATAATATATCTTGAACATTTCTCCATGTCAAAGATTTTTCTAAAAGGTAGTTCTAAGTCTTTTTTGCAACCTAGACACCTTTGAAAATCTGGTTAACAAGTATGTACTCTCACCAGTTTGGAGAAAATACCACTTCGTCAGCAAACTACATAGAATAATTTCTGTATCATTCCTGGGGTTCACAGATACTCTAAGCCCATCCCTGAATCCCAGGTTAAGAATGTTTATTTACCCTAAAACATGACTTTTAATAACTACTTAAGATTCTCATATATATAAACAGTTGGCTACTGTGATCATTTGGATTACTTTCCATTCTTTTTTAAGTTGTACTTTAGTGAAATGCCTTGTCAGTAAATCTTGCATAGCTCTCTGATTACTGTCTTAGGATAAGTTTCTATTAGTGAAATTGCTGGGTCAAGAGCATGTCCACTTTGGATGCTTTTGAGACTTAGCTCCAGGTCATTATTTGCTTATAATCTGTAAATGATTGTTTTAAACTATCTCTAAGCATCATCTTGCTGTTCAGTCTTCTAATCTCCCTGTGCCGTCTTTCTCCATTGACATAGCTCCAGACAGGAGATTCAGACCTACGCCATTGCACTGATTAATGCACTTTTTCTGAAGCCTCCCGAGGACTAGAGACAGATCTGTGGCTGCCTTTTCACATTCTTCATCTGGGCTCTTCTGAGAGAAGAATTCTCACCCCACGTACTCTTTGCTGTTCAGAGAGCACAAATCCAGGCATTTTCCCAAGAGTCCTTCCTCCTAGCCCTCTGGTCTAGAGCCCAGCAGGGTGGCTTTGCTAAGGAAGACCCAGGGAAGAACTATGAGGAGAAACCAGCTGGATCTTAGATGAGATTAGGGCCCTTCAAACTTTTTCCTCTAAAGGGCCAGAGAATAAACATGTTTGACTTTATGGGCCATATGGCCTATGTGATAGCTACTCAACCTTGCCATTGTAGCCAGAAGCAGCCTCAGACAGTAGGTAAATGAATGGGTATGGCTGTCTTCCAATAAAATCTTATTTACAAAAACAGGCAACAAGCCTAATATGGCCATAGTTTGCCAACTCCTGGGTTAGAGGATCAAGAATAAGGAAGAAGAGACCCTGTGGGTACCCTGAGTCCAAGGGCTCCAATATAAATGGGACTTCACACTAAGTTTTATGTTTAAAGGTTCTCTGATGCAGATTCTAAACATCTTCTTTCGCCTGTTCATTAACTGTGACATTATGCAAATAGCTCTGCCTCTGTGAACCTTAGTTTCCTCACCTGTCACATGGCAGCAACAACATCTGCCTTGTTTAGCTCACAAGGGTGTCTGAGGAAAAACAAGCTCCCTGTTTCACAGATGAGGAAACTAAGAATCAGCTGGGTGGTGGAACAAGCCCTGACCTAAGAGCCAAGGGGCCTGGAACTAAGTACTCTCCCTGCTGCTGGCTGGGCAAGTGCTTGTAACCTCTTTGGGTCTCAGTTTCTCTTTTTGTAAAATGAAAGGGCCAGTTTAAATGATCTCTGACAGCCCTTCCAACACTAACATTCTAGATTTCTCTGAGAAAAGCCCAAGTGGTGTTAAAAGTAAGACGTTTTAGTTCTCTGACAATCTCATGGGCTCAGTAAGATGAAATCTAAGTGGGATCATGTATGTACCCAGCTCTTGGTAGATTCTAGAGGGAAGACCAAAAGCATCTGTGGTTCTTTCTGTCCTTGTCTTTGGTGGATGGCTTGGCTCTGTTAATCTTCCTTCCTGGTCCTTGTTTGAATGTAAGCTGAAAGCTCATTCCGTCTGCTTCTCTCTATGCTTTTGCTTTCTGCCGGCAGGACAAGCACCTTAATCCTCTAGACCTGCCTGTCACTGTAAGTAACACCATTATGTGGAAAGGGCCCTGGCTCTTCCAGGTGGGGAAGTCAAACCTGGGCAAAAATCTCATGGTCTGATCTAGATGTTCAGGGCATGCCAAGACCCAGGGAAAGTTTGTGTGCTGTGAATCTCCTTTGTCAGGACACTTAGGGAAGTACTGCAGATGAGAGTCACAGAAAGGATTAAGGGGGTACATGCCCCAGGGAGTATGGCCCCAGCCTTCCTTTGAAACTTGCCTTTGCATGGGTCTGTGGTTCAACTAGGGAAGACCAGACTCAGAAACAGCTGTGACTCAGCACATCAAGAAGCTTATCCACCATGATCAAGTGGGCTTCATCCCTGGGATGCAAGGCTGGTTCAACATATGCAAATCAATAAAAGTAATCCAGCATATAAACAGAACCAAAGACAAAAACCACATGATTATCTCAATAGATGCAGAAAAGGCCTTTGACAAAATTCAACAACCTTCATGCTAAAAACTCTCAATAAATTAGGTATTGATGGGACGTATCTCAAAATAATAAGAGCTATCTATGACAAACCCACAGCCAATATCATACTGAATGGACAAAAACTGGAAGTATTCCCTTTGAAAACTGGCACAAGACAGGGATGCCCTCTCTCACCACTCCTGTTCAACATAGTGTTGGAAGTTCTCGCCAGGGCAATCAGGCAGGAGAAATAAATAAAGGGCATTCAATTAGGAAAAGAGGAAGTCAAATTGTCCCTGTTTGCAGATGACATGATTGGATATTTAGAAAACCCCATCATCTCAGCCCCAAATCTCCTTAAGCTGATAAGCAACTTCAGCAAAGTCTCAGGATACAAAATCAGTGTGCAAAAATCACAAGCATTCTTATACACAAATAACAGACAAACAGAGAGCCAAATCATGAGTGAACTCCCATTCACAATTGCTTCAAAGAGAATACAATACCTAGGAATCCAACTTACAAGGGATGTGAAGGACCTCTTCAAGGAGAACTACAAACCACTGTTCAATGAAATAAAAGAGGATACAAACAAATGGAAGAACATTCCATGCTCATGGATAGGAAGAATCAATATCATGAAAATGGACATACTGCCCAACGTAATTTATAGATTAAATGGCATCCCCATCAAGCTACCAATGACTTTCTTCACAGAATTGGAAAAAACTACTTTAAAGTTCATATGGAACCAAAAAAGAGCCTGCATTTCCAAGACAATCCTAAGCCAAAAGAACAAAGCTGGAGGCATCATGCCACCTGACTTCAAACTATACTACAAGGCTACAGTAACCAAAACAGCATGGTACTGGTACCAAAACAGAGAAATAGACCAATGGAACAGAACAGAGCCCTCAGAAATAATGCCACACATCTACAACCATCTGATCTTTGACAAACCTGACAAAAACAAGAAATGGGGAAAGGATTCCGTATTTAGTAAATGGTGCTGGGAAAACTGGCTAGCCATATGTAGAAAGCTGAAACCGGATCCCTTCCTTACACCTTATACAAAAATTAATTCAAGATGGATTAAAGACTTACATGTTAGACCTAAAACCATAAAAACCCTAGAAGAAAACCTAGGCAATACCATTCAGGATGTAGGCATGGGCAAGGACTTCATTTCTAAAACACCAAAAGCGATGGCAACAAAAGCCAAAATTGACAAATGGGATCTAATGAAACTAAAGAGCTTCTGCACAGCAAAAGAAACTACCATCAGAGTGAACAGGCAACCTACAGAATGGGAGAAAATTTTCACAACCTACTCATCTGACAAAGGGCTAATATCCAGAATCTACAATGAACTCAAACAAATTTACAAGAAAAAAACAAACAACCCCATCAACAAGTGGGCGAAGGATATGAACAGACACTTCTCAAAAGAAGACATTTATGCAGCCAAAAAACACATGAAAAAATGCTCATCGTCACTGGCCATCAGAGAAATGCAAATCAAAACCACAATGAGATACCATCTCACACCAGTTAGAATGGTGATCATTAAAAAGTCAGGAAACAACAGGTGCTGGAGAGGATGTGGAGAAATAGGAACACTTTTACACTGTTGGTGGGACTGTAAACTAGTTCAACCATTGTGGAAGACAGTGTGGCGATTCCTCAGGGATCTAGAACTAGAAATACCATTTGACCCAGCCATCCCATTACTGGGTATATACCCAAAGGATTATAAATCATGCTGCTATAAAGACACATGCACACGTATGTTTATTGCAGCACTATTCACAATAGCAAAGACTTGGAACCAACCCAAATGTCCACCAATTATAGATTGGATTAAGAAAATATGGCACGTATACACCATGGAATACTATGCAGCCATAAAAAATGATGAGTTCATGTCGTTTGTAGGGACATGGATGAAGCTGGAAACCATCATTCTCAGCAAACTATTGCAAGAACAAAAAACCAAACACCGCATGTTCTCACTCATAGATGGGAATTGAACAATTAGAACACTTGGACACAGGAAGGGGAACATCACACACCGGGGCCTGTTGTGGGGTGGGGGAAGGGAGGAGGGATAGCATTAGGAGATATACCTAATGTAAATGATGAGTTAATGGGTGCAGCACACCAACATGGCACATGTATACGTATGTAACCTGTATGTAACATTGTGTATATGTACCCTAGAACTTAAAGTATAATTAAAAAAAAAAAAACAGCTGTGACTTTGATCTAGACAATACCATGGATGCGTCACCTTCTTACTTGCTTTAGCGGAGTAAAGCAAGCTTTTGCTTTACAAAAGCTTTACAGAGAAGCTTTTGGTCTTAAGACCTTTGTATTCTGGCTGCAGACCACTGTCAATTACACATTTTGTGAGTTGTCCATAGCAAGATTTAATCTCAGTTGACCTCCTAGGGTTAACCAAAGAAGTTTCTAGGCCACTATCCTCCTCTGCCAGCCAGTATGTATTCATTGAATGCGAAGTAAAATTTAATGTTCCTGGCAGCATCAGCCATTTGGAAAGTGGCTAGAAATCCAGAAGTGAGAGAGAGGGGCCTTTCAGCTCTGAGAAGAATGACACAGAGCTCACAGATACTACTCCGTAGGAGAGGTGTGACAGCTCCCTCAGGCCCATTGATTTAGGATTCTCTATAAAATTAAATGAAGGCAGCAGTTTAGGAAATGAAGTCATAGTAATTAACATTAGTAAGAAGTGATGGGCAACATTGGAAGGAGGAGACAGAAGAATTATGAAAAGCTGTCAGAAGAATTAAAGGCATTGTAATCTGGGACCATTTTGTTTATGGGAAAAGAGCTTCACATCTCAATAGCTCCTCAGGGTATCACAGTGTCACAACACAGAATAATCACTGATGTTCTTTTTGATGAAGCCGACTCCTTAGCACTGACTAAATTATAATCACTGTAGTCACTTCAGAAATAAAGAAATGTATATATCTTTAAAAGATTTGCATAAGAATGGTCAAAATAATGGTTCTGAGAGAACCCTTAAAGCTTTGCTCCCTGGAAGATTGATTTATGTAGGATACTTGATTTCCTGGGTGGGCTAAATAAATAAAGCATAACTGTCAAAATCTGGATCAAATATTATAAAAAAGGTGAGCCTGTTATAAAAAATTACCCAAAGCGCCTGACCCATTGTTCTCTAAGCCAGTTAGAACTGAATCCTAGACTACTTACTGTTGTAGAGCGTCCAGGCCCCAGCCCGTCTGCTGTAGGGTGGGACGGGGTTGCTGGACCAAAGTCCCTCTTTGTTTGGAGTCAGTGCTTCACCAGAGTTCCTTCTAGCCTTAGCGGTGGGGTCTGCCTGGCATGATGCGTGTGGCTTGGAAACCATCATGCTGCTCTGTGTCCATGTGCAATGTCCTTGTGACACAAGCGTCTCATTTTCAAGCAGTCCACATCTCTTTTTGAAGACAGTGCAGTTGATTGTGCCGTTAGGAAGGGAAATCCTATTTGAATTAATTTGCACTCACAAAAATGGGGAATGTTTCAGAGTGTAAAATACATTTGATGGTCAGTGGATTTTCATTCATTCACCCACTTTTCATTTGGGAGGAAAAAAATTTAAGAAAGTGAAAAAGGACCGGAGTTACGACATCAGCTTCCTCTCGATAGTACCGACGCACAGAGGAACCTAATCAATAGGTAAATACCTCTCGAACTGAAGAGCTTTTTCCTGTGATCCTCTGTGAGCAAAGTTGCCTTGAGGCAGCCATCTCGCCAGCAATTGAAGCGCCTCCAGGGAGGGACCAAAGACAGCTCTACTGTTTGTAGCCCTGCAAATCTAGAATTTTTATCCAGAGGGAATATGTTAAAATAGGCATGAAAAGGGAAAGTAACTCATCCAGCTGACACTGATTAAAAACCTGAATTGTTTAGGGCACTGACAGAACTAAGTAATCAAATGTATTTGCTCTCAAAGACCTTCTGGGCCGGTAGGAAAGACTAGTGATCATAGTGCGGTGTGATCCAGGTTTGTGGTCTGGGAAAGGATGGAGGAGGAACAGTAAGTTCTGTCTTGAAGTGTTTCTGGAAACATTTAGAGGAATGTCTTCAGACGAGCCTTGGAGGATGAGTAGGCAGACTAGGAATAACAGGAATTTCAGCCAGAGGGTGGCTAGAACCCAGAAGGAGTGTGTCGATTAGGCACAGGGCAAGGAGCAAGTGGGTGAGGAGGCTGGAGAGGTAGCGAGGACCAGATCAGGAAAGGCCTTAGTCTCATTCCTAAGGACAGCTGAGGGCATTTAATTAAGTTGGTGAAATATCTAGATTTGCATTTTAGAAAGAGCACAGGAAAGACCTGTGTAGCTAATGGGTCCCTGAGGGAGGAGAGCAGAGCAGGAGTTGGCAGGTGGATCTGGAAAGAGGTGTAAATCCCTGTTACCGCCTGTGGGGTGGAGTAGGGCCAATGTTGGGAGGTGGGGCCAGTGGGAGTGGAGGAGGAGAGCCAAGGATCTGAATTAAAAGGAGGCAACTTTGGCCAGGCGCAGTGGCTCACGCCTGTAATCCCAGCACTTTGGGAGGCCGAGGCAGGAGGATTGCCTGAGGTCAGGAGTTTGAGACCAGCCCGACTGACATGGTGAAACCTCGTCTCTAATAAAAATGCAAAAATTAGCTAGGTGTGGTGGCAGACACCTGTAATCTCAGCTACTCAGGAGGCTGAGGTGGGAGAATTGCTTGAACCCTGGAGGCAGAGGTTGCAGTGAGCCGAGACTGGGCCATTGCACTCTAGCCTAGACAACAAGAGTGAAACTCCATTTCAAAGAAAAAAGAGGCAAGTTTATCAATTGTCAGAAACAAGGGAAACCTGTGAGACCACAGTGAAGGGAATAAAATGAAAAATTAGAAGATTAGAAGTCAAGTGTAAGATTTAAGCTAAAGATGGACTTAGGAGTCAGCAAGCCCCTCCTCTGCCATTTTCCAATCTTTGATCTTGAGCAATTCACGTAACTTCTCTAGACTTCAATTTGCTCATCTGGATATGAGGACTAAGTGAGCCAGTGTATATACCACGCTTAGCAGGGTGCCTGGCACTCAGTAAGCCACTTTTTCCATTTTTTTCCCCTAAACACTTAATAGGAAACTTTTTTTTTTTTTTGAGACGGAGTTTCGCTCGTTGCCCAGGCTGGAGTGCAATGGTGTGATCTTGGCTTACTGCAACCTCCACCTCACAGGTTCAAGCCGTTCTTCTGCCTCAGCCTCCCGAGTAGCTGGGGGTTATAGGCATGCGCCACCACTCCGGGCTAATTTTGTATTTTTAGTAGAGACGGGGTTTCACTGTGTTAGTCAGAAGATCTCTATCTCCTGACCTCGTGATCCACCTGCCTCTGCCTCCCAAAGTGCTGGGATTACAGGCATGAGCCACTGCGCCCGGCCCAAATATTTCATTTTCAAGGCTGGAGGAGTTTGAGGGCTCATGGATATTTCCTGCTGTTTACTGGGGAGAAATATATTGGATGAGCTCATTACAAATTTCTATAATTATAATCTCTAAAAACTTAAAGTAGTTAATGCTAATTTACTTTAATCGTTATCAGACTGTATTTATAGCGACAGATTTTAGGATTCACAGATTTTAGTATAGACAATTCAAGCTGGGCACAATTGTATGCGCCTGTAGCCCCAGTTACTTGGGAGGCTGTGGCTGGAGGATTGCATGAATCTAGGAGTTCAAGGCCAGCCTGGGCAACATGGTGGGACCCCATATCTCTCTCTCTCTTTTTTTTTTTTTTGAGATGGAGTCTGTCTGTTGCCCAGGCTGGAGTGCAGTGGTGCGATCTTGACTCACTGCAACCTCTGCCTCCTGGTTCAAGCAATTCTCATGCCTCAGCCTCCCGAGTAACTGGGGTTACAGGCATGAGCCACTGCAGCTGGCTAATTTTTGTAGAAAGATACAGAACAATTCCAGTTTCCCAAAAAATGACCTTGTGCTGCTTTTTTCTTAGGCAAACCACCCTCCATCCCAGTCCCTGGCAATCACTGATGTCTTCTCTGCCCCTATAGCTTTAGCTTTTCCAGAATGTCATATAAATGTGATCATACTGCATATAATCTTTGCAGCTGGTTTCTTTCACTTAATACAGTGCAGTTGAGGTTCATCCATGTCACTGCATGTATCAGTAGTTCATTACTGCAGAGTACTGTTTCATTATGTAGATGTACCACAGTTTCTTTATTCATGTACACATTGAAGGACATGTGAACTGTTTTCGGTTTTTGACTATAGGTTAAATATCCCTTATCCAAGATGCTTGAGACCAGAAGTGTTTCAGATTTCAGTGTTTTAGGATCTTGCAATATTTGTATATACATAATGAGATAGCTTGGGGATGGGACCCAAGTCTAAGCACAAAATTTATTTATGTTTCATATACACCTTGTATAAAATAAGGCGAAGGTAATTTCATACAATATTTTAAATATTTTCAGTGCATGAAACAAAGTTTGTGTTAAGTACTTACGTGTGGAATTTTCCACTTGCATCATGTCAGTGCTCAAAAAGTTTTGGATTTGGGAGCATTACAGATTTCAGATTTTTGGATTTGGGATACTCAATCTGTATTATAACTAAATATTGCTATCAATTTTTGTGTACAAGATTCTCTGTGAACTTAAGTTTTTATTTCATTAGGATACTTAGAAGTAGGATGGTTGAGGCATATATGATAGGTATGTATTGAACATTTTAATGAAACTGCCAAACTGTTTTCCAGGATTCCTGTGCCATTTCTGCATTTCCACTAGCAATGTATGAAAAACTTCAATTGCTTCACATACTCACCATTTTTCATGCTAGTCATTCTAATAAGTTCATAGTTATAGTCAGTATGATTTTAATTTGCACTACTGTAATGATTATGATATTGAGCATCCTTGCATTTATTTATTTGACAGATACTTTTTTTGGTGAAATGTCTGTTTAAATATTTTGTTCATTAAAATTTTTTTTCTTAATTTTGAGTTTTGAGAGTTCTTTATATATTCTGGGTACAAATATTTTCTCTGAGTATGTGGCTTGTCTTTTCTTACAGTGTCCTTCACAGAGGAGAAATTTTAATTTTGATGAAGTTTACTGATATTCAGTTGTATAATACATTTTGGGTTAATTTTTGCATATGGAGTGAGGAATGAGTGTAAGTTAACATTTTTGCATGCGGATATTCAGTTGTTCCAGCATCATTTGGTGATATGATTATCCTTTTTCCAATGTTGCCTTTGCACCTTTATCGTAAACTAATTGACTATATTTCTGAACTCTAGTTTGTTTCCTCATTCTGTGTGTCTCATTTTGTCAATACTACATTGTTTTGATCACTGTAGTTTTTGTATGTCTTAAAATTATTGTGTGATTCTTGCATATCCCCCCAAAATTGTTTTGCATTTTCTAGTTTTTTTTTTTTTACCTTTCCATAGAAATTTTAAACTTAGTTTATATCTACAAAATATCCTGTTGGGATTTTGATTGAAGTTGCATTGAGTCTATAGATCAATTTGGGGAGAATTGATGACTAACTTGAGTCTTACTACATGAACATGGAATGTCTCTTCATTATATGTTTAAAAAGTTTTATTTTATCACTATTTTAGAGTGTTAATGTACAGATTCTGTAGATGTTTTGTTAGGGTGAAAGCAATACTTCTTTGTTGTTGTTATGGTTGGAGCTATTGAAAAGTAGTACTTTAAAAAGGATTTATTTTCCATTTGTTCATTATTGGTATATTGAAATATACTAGATCTTGCTAAACTCACTTATAAGTTATAGAAACTTTTTTTTGTAAATTCCTTGGGATTTTCTACATAGATCATCATGCCATCTGCAAATATTTCTCTCATTCAAATCTAAATGTCATTTATTTATTTTTCTTATACTGGCTACAGCTTTCAGTAAAATATTGAATCATGGGTGATAAGAGTGGACATCCTTGCTTTCTTCCCAGTTTCTGGGGAAACACCTAGTCTTTCATCATTAAGTATGATGCTAGCTGTAGGTTTTTTTCTGCTTGCCTTTTTTCAGATTGAGGACGTCTCTTTTATTCCTAGGTTGCTGAGAGTTTTTATTATGAATGTATGTTGAATTTTGTAAAATGCTTTTTTATTAGTAATTGATATGGTTATGTGATTTTTCTTGTTTCATCCGTTAATTATGATGAATTACACTGATTGCTTTTCAAATGTTGAATCAGCCTTGAATTCCTGGGGTAAACCTCACTTGGTCATAATGTTTTATTCCTTTAATATATTCTGGATCAATGTGCTTATATTTTGTTGAGGAGTCTTTGCATCTGTATTCCTAAGGTATATTGTCTATACCTCCTTGTCTTGTATAACTAAGTGACTTGGACCTTTTTGATGTCTATAAATGCTTACTTAATGATAGTTCCTTCAAATTGAGCGGTTACAGTACAGCTTACCTCTCCCTTAATTTTGCCTTGTTTTGTTTTTTGTTTTGGTTGAGTGGTATCTTAGTATGTTTGGGCTGCTATAACAAGGTACCTTAGACTGGGTAATGTATAAATAATGGAAATTTATTGCTCACCATTCTGGAGGCTGGGAAGTCCAAGATCAAGGCACTAGAAGATTTGGTGTCTAGTGTGGGCCCATTTGTCACAGATAGTGTCTTCTTTGTGTCCTTACATGTTGGAAAGGGTAAATAAACTCACTCAGGCCTCTTTTATAAGGGTACTAACCTCATTCATGAGGGTGTAGTCCTTATGACCTACTTACCTCCCAAAGGCTCCACCTCTTAACATTATTACATTGGAGATTAAATTTAACATATGATTGGGGGCAAGCAAAAACATTCAGACCATAGCAGGTAAAATCAGAGCATTTCAACCCGGCATGGTGGCTCACACCTGTAATCCCAGCACTTTGGGAGGCCAAGGCGGGCAGATCACGAGGTCAGGAGATCGAGACCATCCTGGCTAACACGGTAAAAATCCATCTCTACTAAAAATACAAAAAACTAGCCGGGCATGGTGGCACGAGCCTGTAGTCCCAGTTACTTGAGAGGCTGAAGCAGGATAATTGCTTGAACCCAGGAAGCGGAGGTTGCAGTAAGGCGAGATTGCACCACTGTACTCTAGCCTGGGCACAGAGTGAGACTCGGTCTCCAAAAAAAGTTTTTATCAGCTGAAATGTTTTTGATTTTCCTTTTTTGTTGTCTTTATATATGAAATAGGTTTGTATGGATAGCTTTATATGAAACTTGCCTCCTATTTTCTGTATTTTTTGAAATACTTTAAATTATCCTTGGTTAATGTGATATTCCATATGGAAGAGATCAGAGGTTTCAGTTGTTTCTAGAACTCTTACTTTCTTAGTTCTTTAGTTCTTTTCTTAGTTATTGATATTTATATATCAAGAGAATCACCACTTTATTCAAAAAATGTGCTGCAAATACATTCTCTAGTTTATGTGTTTTTCTATATAGTGTTTTATTTCTATGTGGCATTTAATGTTTTTTGTATTTACATTTCTCACGCTTATTTTGTTCTTTCTGATAAATTATTTATGAACATTTTCCCCAGTCTGAGATTGAAATATGTATATATGTACGTATATATGTTTGTATTCCTACCTGCCATGGCCTATTCTAGATCTTAAATCTTAGATTTGTTTGGTGTTTATTTTGAAGTAGGACATGAGATAGGCTCCAACATGCATATGTACTCGGTCTGTTAATTTTGTGTGGATCAATATCTAGTGGACCTTTCTTTGTTTACATCACTTTGTGTTTCAAATTACACTCAGGTGCTTCAGATAGTCTGTCAGTTTTTTCTCCTGAGTTCTCTCTGGGGGTCTCTGACCAGCTTCCACACAGATGGGCTGCTCTCTGTCTGGTGAAGGCTGTCACCTTGGAATCATCCTGGGATTCCCTTTGCCACTTTCCTTTTTTCAATATTCTCAATTTCCTTTTTTTATTTCCTCATGGTGAGTGTTGAGGGTATTCAGTGGAGTTGATGGTATGATACATGATTTTGGAAAGATAACGAAAAGCCAGACCATGAAGAACCTCATATGCCACGAGTTTTAGCTTCTTTTTAATGGTAGTGTAACTATTGAGAATATTTTATAGGTGAGTTATATTTGCTCTTATAGAGGATCCACTGTGGCTAAAATTTGTAGAATAGATGGAATAAAGGAAAATTAGGTAAAGCCTGTTGTAGTAATTCAGGAAAGATATAATAGTACATAGAAATAAGACAGCCATAGTGGGGGTGTCATTTTCACAGAGCTTGGGGTTAATTGGGCATGGGACAAAGGAAAGAAGGGTCAAGGATGGTACCCAGGCTTCTGAGTTTGGCTAGTAGACTGATCCTCAGAGTAGGAGTATCATGTTTAGAGTAGGCACTGAGTGTAATTTTGGACATACAGTGTAAATGATTGCAATAGATCCTTTGCCCACATTCACCAAATGTTAACATTCTACTATGTTTACTTTATGATTTATCTGTCTCTCTGTCTTTATCTCTTTCACTTTGTGTGCACATGTGTGTGAGTGTGTGTATGTTTTCTGACCCATTTGAGAAGTTTGTGGACATGATGCTTTTCTAAATCTAATTACTTCACTGAATGTTTCCTTGAAACAAGCCGTGATTGTCAAAATCAAGAAATTAACATTCAGTGTTGTTAGCTAATCTACAGACCTTATTCAGATTTTGCCAGTTGTCCCAATAGTGTTCTTTATGGGGAACAGAACTTCCAGATCTTGAATTGAAGTCAGTTATCATGTCTTTTTAATCTCATATAATCTGGAAGAGTTTTTCAGTCTATGATTGCTGGAAATTTGAATGGCTTTGGAATTATGTGTGTATATGTTGGGGGTGGTGTTGATATGGGAAACAGACTTGTGATTGTGGTCCTTAGACCACAGAGTATAAATTAGAATCAGGAATGCATCTGGGGAGATGGATTTTCTACTGTCTGTTGCTGGAAAGGTAGAAAACAGATCTTCTACTCAAGGATGACTGCATTGATTTGTTTTTTACCCGAGATGAATAATTTGGCTTTGATAATTTGGTTCAGGAACTAGGTGAGACTGATGCTTAGATATGTTTGTATCCTTAAGTAGTATAGAGTTTACATGGCATATACATGACTATGTAAATTCTTCCTACCTGGAAACATACCAGTGAATAGAAAAGGATTGGAGTGTGGCCAAAAAAAATCGAGCTTCTTAAATCTATCTTGGACACACAGTGTTACTGTTAGGTGCTGGCCTCTGTTAAGCTCTCTTGGGAACTTATATATTCCTGTTCTCTGTAGTCACCTTGCTGATATTATGATTCCATATTTCTGACTATTTACATTCATTAACCATGTGTGTGCATGTGTGTCTGTTTTCTGTTTGCATATTGATATAAATTATTTATAGTCTGTTTTTTAAAAGGGAAAGTAGCAGTATTCCTTGTCAATACTTAGTCCTCTGTGTTGAATTATACCTTTAATTGAAGAGTGGTATAGGAGTATATGTTTCTTTGTGTCATGTATTGAGTATTGTCTTCATTTTCTGTTAAGCCCTCAGATGTGTAGACCAGAGATATGATCTCTCTGTATGCAGCTCTTCTCAGAGATTTATATCTACATGCAGTTGTGACTGACAGTTGTATTATTTGCTGCCACATTTCCAGTTGTGTGATTGAGTAGTGAACAGGCAGGCTTTGTCATTCAACTGGCGTGGATTTTATACAAGGCCAGTTGAATTTTATCTGAATTTGGGTAAATTGCTTATTATCTGAATTTGGGTAATTGCTTAACTTTTCAATATTCATTTTTCTCTTTCAAGTGGGGACAATATTGTCAACTTTTTTTTTTTTTTTTTGAGATGGAGTCTTGCTCAGTCGCCTAGGCTGGAGTTCAGTAGCGCAATCTCGGCTCACTGCAAGCTCTGCCTCCTGGGTTCATGCCATTCTTCTGCCTCAGCCTCCCGATAGCTGGGACCACAGGCGCGTGCCACCACGCCTGGCTAATTTTTTTGTATTTTTAGTAGAGACGGGGTTTCACTGTGTTAGCCAGGATGGTCTCAATCTCCTGACCTCATGATCCGCCCGCCTTGGCCTCCCAAAGTGCTTGGATTACAGGTGTGAGCCACCATGCCCGGCCAATATTGTCAACTTTTTATGACTTTCAGATTTAAATGAGATAATATTAAAATTTAGTTATGGGATCTGGCACAAATTGAGAATGCGAAAACAGTAGTTGATATTATTTTACTTCCTGCCATCTGCTTGATTATTATAGGCTGTTCACCCTGAGAATTGAGACTGCCCTATTTTTTTATGTTCTCTCAAAAAATTTTTTAAATGTCTTCCACAAGATTTTGTCTCCACAGTTATCCATTTACTTGACAGCCTCTCAGCATACGTTAGAGCAAAAGCCTTCCTGGTTCTTCTATATATTTTGATTTATAACCGTGAAATGTTGCTGTTCAATTGCCAAGCAAGGTAAGATTTTCTCTGATGTTTTCTTCAGTAGCTTCAATTTAGTGCCTCTTGTATTAGTAGTTTTAGGGTATTTTTTGGCTTCTGTGTATCTGGTATATATTTTTTAAGAGTTTTTCCAGGGGCTTAATATTTCTTCTGTAATCTCAGTTTGGAAGTACTGAGGACCCCGAGAAGACCTCTGAAACTGTAGCAGGGTGAGAAATGCCTGGTGTGTCCTTGATATGATTTGGCTGTTTGTCCCCACCTGAATCTCACTTTGAATTATAATCCCCATAATCCCCATGTGTCAAGGGTGGGACCAAGTGAGGGTCATTGGATCATGGGAGTGGTTTTCCGCATTCTGTTCTTGTGATTATGAGTGAGTCTCACCACATCTGATTTTTATAAGGAGCTGGCGTTTCCCCTGCTGGCATTCACTCTATCCTGCCGGCTGTGAAGAAGGTGCCTGTTTTTCCTTTACCTTCTGCCGTCATTGTAAGTTTCCTGAGGCCTCCCCAGCAATGTGGATCAATTAAACCTCTTTCCTTTATAAATTACCCAGTCTCAGATATGTCTTCATAGCAGTGTGAGAATGAGCTAATACAGCCCTAGATCTGAGAACAGTCCAAAGCAGGGTGTTGAGAAGGTTCTGGTTTGTACCTTTGGGAGTCAATATTGGACCAGTGGTTTGGTTGTAATTTTGCTTATTGTAAGATTCTGGAATAAGTAGCTGAAGGCTCAGAAGGAGGAGCAGGGCAGGGGGCAAGAGTTTATGGACTGGTCCTAGGAAGGGCAGGTCTTTCTCCTGGCTTGTAACTCTTTCCTCTAAAAGGAGGAGCTATTCTAGATGCTCCTCAAGTTTTCTTCATGTTCTGGTGCTTTCTGATTAACATCTTCTGAACCATCTCATCCATGCTGTATTGAAGCCCAGAGAAGCCCTGGCAATTTGGTTTAATGCCTGTTTCTAGATCCAGATTTTTACTTGTTCTAGAGTACTGAGCAGAGCCTGGTATTGCTGAGATTGATCTAGATTAGGGGTTGACAATTTTTTTTTTTTCCTGGTAACAGTGAGAGGGTAGGCTTTGTAGGTCAAGAGGCAAAATTGGGCCTATTATATACCTTCCTATATAACAAACAAGGACACAAATTTCCATGTGTACTTTTGGAGACAGGGTCTTACTCTGTTGCCCGGGCTGGAGTGCAGTGGTGTAATCACAGCTCACTGGAGCCTTGAGCCCCACACCAGGCTCAAGCGATCCTCTCGCCTCAGCTCCCAGAGTAGCTGGCACTACAGGTGCATATCATCATGCCCAGATAATTTTTAAAATATTTTGATGGAGACAGGGTCTCACTGTGTTGTCCATGCTGGTCTTGAACTCCTAGGCTTGAGTGATTCTCTTGCCTCAGCTTCCTAAAGTGCTAGGATTATAGGCATGAGCCACCATGCCCAGACCATGTTTTTTATTGACATAAAAATATACCAATCATAATTGAATGAAATTTTTCTTTTGTAATACAGGTCTGTTAATGAGAAGAGAATTTTTTCAGGGGAAGGGGGAGATGACATTTTGCTTAATTGGGCATCAAAGTTAGTGTCTTTATCATTAAATCAATGGCAAATGTTCTCTTAGTGCTGATTTTTAATGTGATTTAATGTGTTTTGTCTTTGAAAATGTCTTCACACAGGTAGATACTGCCAAATAACAATATCAACTCATGAGCATATGATTTTAATTGAGCATATTTGTCACTGGGAAGGCATTTGTAGAATTCTATTAGATTCTTCTCTTGATTTCTGTGTTTCAGGATGTCATTACATTATAGATCAATCACTTCCAATTGAGGGGTGTGGAATTTCCTAACAAACCTCCTTGTTTCTCATCATTTAGGGATCACTATTTTTCCTTGTCCAGTGTCTTGAAGTTTGATGTTTCATGTATTTTGTCTATTTTTTGGTTGTTTTAGATGGGAGGGCGAATCCTGTTTCTGTTAGTCTATTATGGCCAGAAGTGGAAGTCACTCTTGTCTATTTATTTTTAATGGCCTCACCACTGGCTTCGCTACCTCTGATCTGTCTTTGCATTTACTGTCATTTTTCACTAGAACAACTAATATTGTTTCTCAACAGTTCTACCATATAGAGTTAGGGCAAGAAAAGAGAAAAAAAAGGAGAAAATAAAACAATAAAAGAGAAAGAACAAGTAAAAAACTTTTTCAATGGATGCTCCTACATCATTTCTTGTACTCACAGTCTGGTTTCTATATAGCAGCTTAGAGTACCTACATACCGTGAATCAGCTTTTGTTTCTTCCCTTCTCGGACTCCTCCAGTAACATGCAGTCACTCTGAAATAATACCCCTGCCCCTCACCATGTCCTGCCTGTCCTGCCTTGTCTAATTCTTGCCCTTGTGTTAGCCCTTGTCTTCTTTGGGCACACTCCATTCCAGCCCCATGGCTTGCCTGTTGCTTTTTGAATGCACTAAGCCTGTTGTGCTCACCTCAGGGCTTTTCTTGGTTGCTGTTTCCTGTGCCTATGATCTCTTCTTTCAGATGCTTGCATGGCTGGCTTCCTCAGATCATTCAAGTCTCTGTCCAAGGGTTACTTCTTCTGAGAGCCACCCTGATGACGTTATCTAAAATACCCGTAACCTCAACTTCAGAAACTCTTTAACTGGAAGCAACTAAACCACTTACACCTTCAGAGCTTGGGTATGACATATGTGATCCCTCCTCCCTGGAAATTGCTGTGACTTGTCTCTGAATGAATGTTTAGAAGCTGGAGCAGTGGTGGGAACGTGGTGGTTTGAAGGCATGCCCCTGACACTGACCTCCACTCTTCTCACTCTCTGGAGCAACACAACAAGCAGGGTGATTGTAGAGAGAGGGTCTGGCAGATGACCTTAGCCTTGCTGGGGAGGTAAGGTAGGCTCCATTTCTCCTGCACTGTGTGGCAGAGATGGTGCCCCTGTCCTTGGGTTCCTAAGCTCAGCATGAATAGTAGAACTTGGTGCTTCTGTAGGGTCTAAAATGCAGATGCTTTCTACATGTGGTGGTTTGGGCTTGCAGTCTTATTCCCAGGAGATCTTGAGCAGAACTGAAATGGTGGGCCAATCTGTCCCCGTCTGTAAGGTTCGAGAAAGACCACATCACCTTCCTGCCCTTGAAAAGAACAGCTCCCTCTTACTACCTGCTTCTTTGCCACACCTGTCCTGATTGGGTGCTGAGTAGCTTAAGAAGTCAGTAGGCAGAGATTTGTCCCAGCCCAGTTAGGGAAACATAGTACTTGAAAGAGAAAGAACAGGCACACCAGGCATTTTTTTTTTTTTTTTTTTTGAGACCAAGTCTCACTGTGTGACCCAGGCTGGAGTACAGTGGCCTGATCTCGGCTCACTGCAACCTCTGCCTCCTGGGTTTGAGTGATTCTTCTGCTTCAGCCTCCTGAATAGCTGAGACTACAGCTGCTCACCACCACGCCCAGCTAATTTTTGTATTTTTAGTAGAGACAGGGTTTCACCATGTTGGCCAGGCTGGTCTCAAACTCCTGACCTTGATGATCCGCCTGCCTTGACCTCCCAAAGTGCTGGGATTACAGGCATGAGCTGCCACACGCGGCCAGATCAGGCATTTCTTATGGAGGCAAAACAAATGGAAGAGACAGAAAAGAATTTTAACAAATATCGAAAACTCTATGGAGAAGGCAGTGGCTTTTTTGTTTGTTTGTTTGTTTGTTTGTTTGTTTGTTTCTGAAAGTCTAAAACTGAAGAGAATGGCCTCTGCTGGGGATAGCATTGGTGCTTTGAAAGGCAGTATGAAAGGGCACATTGAACCATTCAGAGCTGATGACAAAGACATGGAAACTTGAGAGGAAACAATAAGAAAGTACGAGTGGAGATCCAGGAGACCTCACATGCCAAGTGCTAAGAATTTTAGGAGGAGTAAAGAACAGATGGAGGAGGATTTCCAGTCGAGGAAATCATAGCGGTCATCTTCTGGTTGAACATGCTCTTTTCTGATACTGTACTCAAATGAGAATAAAAGAATTAAAAGACGTGAAACCACAAGGGCAGAAGCAAAGGGAAAGATGGCTAAAGCAGATGAATGTTGTTACCTTGTCTTTGTGTTTTGGAAGCTGAAAATTACCACGGACTCCGTGATTTAAGGCAGTGCTTGTTTATTAATCTGACAGTTTCCATGGGTCAGGAGTCTGGGCTTGTTATAACTGAATCCTCTGCTCACAACTCACATACTTGATGTCAAGGTGTTGGCTGGTGCTGAGATTCTCATTTGAGGCTTGAGGTTCTCTTCCAAGCTCGCTGATTCTTGACAGAATTCATTTTCTTGCAGTCTTTGACATCCTCACTTTCTTGCTGATATTTGGCTGGGGTTCACTCTCAGCTTCAGGAATCTGTCCTTTTTCTTCGTTGACAGTTTACTGCATACCTGTTTACTTTCTCTTGGTGGCCAGCAAGATTGCTTCTCATGTCCTGAGAAGCAGGGACTCATTCCCCTCATGCTTCAAACATCTTTGACTTCCTTCCTCTGCCATCAGTCAGAGAAAATGAGTTTTAAATGTCTCACTTGATTAGCTTAGGCTCACTCAGATAATCTATCTTTTTTTTTTTTTTTTTTTTTTTTTTGAGACGGAGTCTCGCTCTGTCGCCCAGGCTGGAGTGCAGTGGCGGGATCTTGGCTCACTGCAAGCTCCGCCTCCCGGGTTCACGCCATTCTCCTGCCTCAGCCTCCCAAGTAGCTGGGACTACAGGCGCCCGCCACTACGCCCGGCTAATTTTTTGTATTTTTAGTAGAGACGGGGTTTCACCGTTTTAGCCAGGATGGTCTCAATCTCCTGACCTCGTGATCCGCCCGCCTCGGCCTCCCAAAGTGGATAATCTATCTTAAGATTAATGGAATTGGGACTTTAATTATGTCTTCAAACTCACTTCCCAATACAGATGCTCCTTGATTTACAGTGAAGTTGCATTTCAGTAAACCCATCGTAAGTTGAAAATATCATGTCAAAAATGCATTTAATACCTCTAACCTACTGAACATCATAGCTTAGCCCAACCTACCTTACATGTGCTCAGAACACTTACATTAGCCTATAGTTGGGCAAAATCATCTAATGCAAAGCCAACTTTTTTTTTTTTGAGATGGAGTCTCGCTTTGTCGTGCAGGCTGGAGTGCAGTGGCGTGATCTTGGCTCACTGCAGCCTCTGTCTCCCAGATTCAAGTGATTCTCCTGCCTCAGCTTCCCGAGTAGCTGGGATTACAGGTGTGTGCTGCCATGCCTGACTACTGTTTGTATTTTTAGTAGAGATGGGGTTTCACCATGTTGGCCAGGCTGATCTCAAACTCCTGACCTCAAGTGATCCACCTGCCTTGGCCTCCCAAAGTGCTGGGATTACAGGTGTGAGCCACTGCACCCTGCCCACAAAGCCTGTTTTTATAATAAAGTGTGGAATATCTCATGTAATTTATTGAATACCACCCTGAAAGTGAAAACCAGAATGGTTGTACGAGTATTCCATATATGGTTTCTACTGAATATTGTTTTTGTACCATCGCAAACTAAAATATCATAAAATTGCAAGTTGAATTAATGTAAGTTGGGGACCAGCGGAAGTATCTAGATTGGTGTTTGAATGGCCAGGATGGTGGGGCTTTGGGGGCAGGGGGATCTTTAGCATTCTGCCAACCATCACAGTCCCCAGAATGGAGGGCTACACAGTTGTGGAAAGGCACAAGGAAGATGTCTGTACACAGCCATGGAGTCATCTACAAGACATTATTCTCCTGATAAGAGTCAGATGTAGAACAGTTATTCATAGCATACTATTAATACCTTTTGTCTAAGAAAGGGGGTGAAAACAGAGAAGATATGTGCCTTTACTAATATTTTACAAAAGACAGAATGGAAAGTTAAATAAATTAAAAAGAGTGATAGTTTACAGGATTAGAAACAGAATAAGGAAGGTGCAGGGCCAGGAATGAGCTATGCTTCTCTGAATGTACCTGCTTTATGGTCTAGACTTAAGAACCAGGCAAATGTTTTATATAATGTTAAAAATAAAAATGATAAAAATAAAGTGGTCTTTAAAAATTGAAAGCAATCTGTGTGTCAAGTTTGTGGTATGATTCCCCAGAGAAGAGATGTTTAAAGCGAATGCTTTTAAATTACAGTATTATGGCAGAATATTTCTATCATAATATATCTTAATCATAATATAATATATTTTAATCCCATTAAGAAACCTTAAACTGCATTCAGTGTTCTGGTTGTCAGTGTTAATATATGTATTGCCATTTGAAACTATTTTATATATATATATATATATATATGGTGTGTGTTTCTGTGTGTGTGTGTATATATGCTCTCTATGGTGTGTGTGTATATATATGCTCTCTCTATATATGGTGTATGTGTGTGTGTATATATATATATGTGGCCTGTATGGTATATATATGTCTCTATGGTGTGTTTGTATATATATCTATATATATATATATGGTCTCTCTCTATATATGGTGAGAAAACTAATAATCATGCTAATTCCAATAATAACCAGTATTAGTGTAAAATTAAATGTACAATTATAAAAATATAATTAAGTAAAATTCTCTCATCTTTAATTTGACTCAAAAGTGTTAGGATAAACTCATTTATTTTTCTATCTTTTTAAGGAAATTATATATTTCATGTATATATATATATATGCTCTATGGTGTGTGTGTGTATATATATGCTCTCTCTATATATGGTGTATGTGTGTGTGTGTATATATATATGTGGCCTCTATGGTATATATATGTCTCTCTGGTGTGTTTATATATATATCTATATATCTATATGTATATGGTCTCTATATATATGGTGAAGAAACTAATAATTATGCTAACTCCAATAATAACCAATATTATTAGTGTAAAATTAAATGTACAATTAGAAAAATATAATTAAGTAAAATTCTCTCTTCTTTAATTTGACTCAAAAGTGTTAGGATAAACTCATTTATTTTTCCATCTTTTTAAGGAAATTATATATTTCATAGTTTTATCTATGTGTATTAGTTTGCTTGGGCTGTCATAAGAGAGTACCACAGATCAGGCAACTTAAACAACATAAATTTATTTTCTCACAGTTCATCGGCTACAGATCCAAGATCAAGGTCCCGGCAGGTTTGGTTTCTGGTGAGGTCTTTCTTCTTGGCTTACATAGAGGGCTGTCTTCTGGATTAGACATCCCCCATATGACCTCATTTAGCCTTAATTACCCCCTTAAATCTCCAAATACAGCCCTATCTCCAAATACATACCTATCTTCAAATATAGTCACATTGAGGATTAGGGCTTCAACATGTGAATTTTGAGGGGAACAGAATTCAGTTTATAACACTAAGAAGCTAGTATTCAAGTTTTAATTTCTAAGTACCATTTTCTACTCAAATCATGGTCTGTTGTATAAATAGGTTCCAAGTCTCTGGCACAGCTTTACATTTAGGCCAGAAATGAACAAATTGAGGCTGGGACATGTCTTTCCTGAAAGCAAGGAAGTTATCAGAGACTTCTAAGGTCATGTTAAAAAGAATGCAGGAGCCAATGTGAAGGAGCTTCTACTGGCCAAAAGTGGAATTTTGAGAGTTCTTTATATATTTTAGACATGAGCCCACTGTCAGATATATGGTTTGCAAATTTTTTCTCTCTGTGTGTAGCTTGTCATCTTTTCTTAACAGGATATTTTACAGAACCAAAGTTTTGAATTTTAATGGGTTCACTTTATCAGTTTTTCCTTTGATGGTTTGTATTTTTGATGTCAAGTATAAGAACCCTGTCTAGAGTCCAAAGATTTTCTCTCTTGTTTTAAAAAATATTTTTTATGGTTATACACTTTTTTAAAAATTATACTTTAAGTTTTAGGGTACATGTGCACAACGTGCAGGTTTGTTACATATGTATACATGTGCCATGTTGGTGTGCTGCACCCATTAACTTGTCATTTAACATTAGGTATATCTCTTAATGCTATCCCTCCCCCCTCCCCCCACCCCACAACAGGCCCCGGTGTGTGATGTTCCCCTTCCTGTGTCCATGTGTTCTCATTGTTGAATTCCTACCTATGAGTGAGAATATGTGGTGTTTGGTTTTTTGTCCTTGCGATAGTTTGCTGAGAATGATGGTTTCCAGCTTCATCAATGTCCCTACAGAGGACATGAACTCATCATTTTTTATGGCTGCATAGTATTCCATGGTTATATGTTTATATTTAAGTTTGTGATCCATTTTGAGTTAATTTCCATATAAAATATAAGGTTTAGTTAGAGGTTTTCTTTTGGTTTTGGTTTTTGCCTGTGGATATTTAATTGCTCTGGTGTTACTTGTTGAAAAGGCTATCTTTCCTGCGTTGAATTACTTTTGTGTCTTGTCAAAAATCATTTGGACATACATGTGTGGGGCTACTTATGGGTTCTCTAAACTTTTCCATTGATCTGTGTGTCTGTCCCTTTATCAATACAACATTGTGTTGATTACTGTAATTAAGACTACTTGATCATAATAAGGCTTAATATTGGACAGAGTGAGTCCTCTCCTTTTATTCTTCTTTGTTAAGATTGTTTTAGCTGTTCTGGGACCTATATGCTTTTCCAGATAAGTTTTGGAATGAGCTTGTTCATATTTTCCAAAACCTTGCTGGGCTTGCATTAAACTAATGCATCAGTACAGGGATAGTTGATATATTTACTGTATGGTCTACTGATCCTTAAACGTGGTGTCTCCCTCCATTTATTTAGCTTTTTTAAAAACCTTCTTTCATTAGCATTCTATAATTTCATAATGTTTTGTTAAGTATATACCTAGTATTTCTTTTTGGAGGGGAGCAATTGTAAATGGTATTGCATCATTAATTTCAGTTTCCACATTTAACTGATGTGATTTTTGTGTTTCTTGATTTTATCTTCTACAACCTTACTAAACTCACTTATCAATTCTAGGTGTTTTTTGTTGTTGTTGTTTTTTGTTTTTGTTTTTGTTTTTTTTGCAGGTTCCAGGAGATTTTCTATATAGCCAATCATGTCATCTGTAAATGTGGACAGTTGTATTTTTTTCTCTCTTGTTTGTGTGCCCTTTATTTTTATTGCCTTATTTTAGTATCTAGAATTTCCAGTACTATGTTGAATAAGAGCAGTGAGAGCAGATGTTCTTGCTTTGTTTCTGGCCTTGTAGGGAAAGCATTTTTAGGCTTCCATGTTAAGGATAATGTTAACTCTAGATTTTTTGTAGATGTTCTTTATCAGTGGAGGAAGGTCACTCTGATTCCTATTCTTTATCTCCAATTTTCTTAGAGTTTTTTTTTCTTTCATCATGAATGGGTATTGGATTTTGTCAAATGCTTTTTCTCTATCAATTAATATGACATTATGATTTTTGTAGCTGTTGCTATAATACATTGCATTAATTGTTTTTCAAATTCTACAGCATTTGCATACCTGGAGTAATCTCACGTGGTCATAGTGTGATAAAGATAAGAGATTAGGAAAACTGCTGGGAGCAGTGGTTCACACCTGTAATCCCAGCACTTTGGGAGTTCAGGAGCTCCCAGCACTTGAGCTCAGGAGTTTGAGACCAGCCTGGGCAACATGGTGAGACCTCATCTCTGCAAAAAATACAAAATTAGCTGGGCGTGGTTACATGCACCTGTGATCCCATCTACTTGGGAGTCTGAGGTGAGAGGACTGCTTGAGCCTGGGAGGCAGAGGGGTTGCAATGAGCTGAGGTCATCCAACTGTACTCCAGCCTGGGCAACAGAGCAAGACTCTGTCTCAAAAAAAAAAAAAAAGATTAAGGATACTAAAATAAAAACATGAGTGTTTGGAGAGAAGACCAAATGGATAAACTGAATTGATATAGGAAAATAAGAGAATTCTGTAAGGTAGCTGAAAAAGCTGGCATTTTATACACTGAAGTCATAATTGCTGTCTTTTAGAAGTTAGAGATAATAAGAATTTGAGTTTAGAGTCAAAAGGGTCAGTCTCCATCAAATACTAATATCCTAATCAAATAATTACTTGGCTGAGTGTAGTGGCTCATGCCTGTAATCCCAGCACTTTGGGAGGCCAAGGTGGATGGATGACAAGGTCAGGAGATTGAGACCATCCTGGCTAACATGGTGAAACCACTGTCTCTACTAAAAATACAAAAAATTAGCCGGGCATGGTGGCGGGCTCCTGTAGTCCCAGCTACTTGGGAGGCCGAGGCAGGAGAATGGCATGAACCCAGGAGGTGGAGCTTGCAGTGAGCCGAGACCACGCCACTGCACTCCAGACTGGGCAACAGAGCGAGAGACTCCATCTCAAAATAATAATAATAATTATTATTATTTAACTTAACTTTACGATGCTCTAATAATCAAAATTGATAGTGGCTTGTGAACAGATAGATCACTTGAACAGATAGATCACTTGAATAGAATAGAGCCCAGAAATAAACCCAAATGCTTCTGGGGGAGTTTAGTATATTATAAACATGACATTTTAAATCAATGAGGAAAAGAAATCATTTGCAGCTCACCCTACCATACGCAGCAGGAATAGGAAGTCATTGGCAGAATAAAAAGATGGTAAGAACAGAACAGAATTATAGAACAGTACGTTTCTTCCTTCCCCACTTTTCAAAGTATTTTTTGCTTTTACACAAGTATAAGTGTAATTTTATTTTCTAAATGTATACTAATTGTTTTGTCTCTTTCTTAGATGAATGAAAAAAATTACACCTTTAGAAAAAGAGTTGTTAGAAAAAAGCCTTGGCTGCATGTAGGGGAAGTGACAGCACAGAAGAGACCAGAGAAGAGCCTCCTGGAGGAGAGCCTACGCTTTGACCATGCTGTCCGGATGGGTACGGTGCCCTCTTCTGCAGAGTGTTCATTTCTATGCTTTTTCTATGGTTCCATTTCATAGAAAGATTTGGGGTGATGTTTCTTTTCCCTCAACTTTTTATTTTAAAACTTGCAAACACAGAAAAGTTGATAAAATAATACAGTGAACATCGGTATGCTATTCAACTGGATTCACCAATTAAGGTTTTGTCATACTTGTTTTCTCTCCTCCGCATATGGAAGATTGTATATGTGCCCTTTTTCCCCCTGAATCATTTCAAAGTAAGTTACCAGTATCGTGGCATTTCACTGTTAAGTACTTTCACAGATATCTTCTAGGAACCAGGACATTCTCCTATATAATCACAATACCGTTAATCCACCCCAAAAATTTAACATCAATACACTAATGATACCTACTGTATAGATTATAATCAGCTTCCTTGCAGAATCTGTTTAGAAGGCTTGCATCCTGTCACTGTCCACTGATTAAATTTTGAACTCTAACTTGAAACCCTGGTCATCTCATTGCCTTCTTTCTTATACCCATTAAGTCAAAAGGAGCTCTCATTTTATTTCAATGGAAAACAGAATGGAAAAGAGGGGAAGAGTCCGTAGGTACCTTGGATAAAGTATGAGCACTTACTACCATATGTATTCTAGTTCTGTAGTTTTCAAACTTCAGGGAGCATTTCAAGGCTTATTAAAGCACAGATAGTTGTCCTTCTTCCCCACTTTCTGATTCAGGAGGTGTGGGGCTGGCCCAGGAATTTGCATGTCTAACAAGTTCCCACGTGTTTCTGATGCTGAGGGTCTAAGGACTACAATGCGTGAATCCGTGGTTTAGTGGATATCCACCTAATGAATACATGTTGTATTTCCTTTAGCACCTGTGATTACAGAGGAAACACCTTTCAACTGGAAGATATCATTAAGCAGAGGATAAGAGATCAGGACAGTAAGAATTAAATTTCACTTAATTGAAATGTCACTGAAATTTTTAGAAATAATATGATAGGCCTGGCACGGTGGCTCATGCCTGTAATCCCAGCACTTTGGGAGGCCAAGGCGGATGGATCACTTGAGGTCGGGAGTTCAAGACCAGGCTGTCCAAGATGGTAAAACCTCCTCTCTACTAAAAATACAAAAATTAGCTGGGCATGGTGGTGCATGCCTATAGTCCCAGCTACTTGGGAGGCTGAGGCAGGGGAATCGCTTGATCTCGGGAGATGGAGGTTGCAGTGAGCTGAGATGCACCACTGCACTCCAGCCTGGGTAACAGAGTGAGACTCCATCTCAAAATAAATAAATAAATAAATAAATAAATAAATAAATAAATAAATAAGATAAAAATAAAAATAAAGGGAAGATGGGGCAGCTTTGTGTACTGCATGTCCCGAAAATGGGCTGATTTCTCTCAAGAGGCAGGGATTTAAGCTCTCTAGCCTACATGGAATACATGGAGTAGAAAAAAGAAGAAAAAGAAAAGAAATGTAAATATAAATAAATGAAAATAACACTTCTCCCCGATTATAAAGGAAATCACTCTTTTTGTAATAATTTAGATGACAAAATATAAAGAAAAATCTTTAATTTTGCCACTGAAAACATTTTGGTTTGTTGCTTTTTACACTTTTTATGCATATAAACATTTTAAAAAGTAGAATCATAATATATGGTCTTTTGTCACTTACTATATTTTAAGCATGTTTCTATGGCAGAAATATATCCTGGCATCATCACTTTCAATAGCTGGATGTATGTTAAGTGAATCATTGCCACCCCAGAGGTGGATTTCCTTCTATATATATTTTAATGAACTCGAGTCAGGATTTTTGCACTGAATTCATACAAGTAGAATTTCTAGAGGAAAGTAATATAAAACAGTTTTAGGATTTTTAAAAGAAATGTTCAAATCATCCTATAGGAAAATTGGTTGAGTTTATACTCCCACCAACAGGGACAGAGCTCCAGGTTCCCCCTTCCATTTGTCATCTTCGCTGGTCTTTAAGCAGAAAATCTCATTGTTTTCATTATATTTCTTTGATTTCTAGTGCTTTTGAATCTTTTTCATATGCTCATTGGCTATTTTTATTCTTGTGGGAAGTGCCGGTTTCTCTACTGCCCATTTTCTGCTGGAAATCATTCATTTTTTTTTTCTGAGTAATTTTAAATTTTTCTTTATAGGCTAAGGATACAAACCTTTAATGTCATTGAGGTTACAAAGACTTTCTCCTCATAAGTAATTTGTCATTTCGCTTTATTTATTTATATTTTGCTAGCCAAGCACCAAAGTCACATTTCACTTAATTTTTATGTTGCTGAATGAAAACATTTTAACTTAATGATTTTACTGGAAAGAGGAGCAGGACAGAATGTAATATCTAGATCTTGCTCTGTCACCCCAACTGGAGTGGAGTGGCATGATCATAGCTACTGCAGCCTCAAACTTCTGGGCTCAAGTGATTTTCCCACCTCAGTCTCCCAAGTAGCTAGGACTACAGGTGTGTGACGCCATGCCCAGCTAATGTTTAATTTTTTTTTGTAGAGCTGTGAATTCGCTATGCTGCCCAGGCTGGTCTTGAACTCCTAACTTACTCCACCTTGGCTTGCCAATATGCTGGGAGTACAGGTGTGAACTACTGCTCGTGACTGAGAGCTTACTTTTGTTTGCTAGTGGTGTTCTTGGTATCTTTTTATATTTGAGGCTTTTGTGCTAGTGCTGAAGTATTATACTCACCATCTGAGGTTCACAGGACTTTTGTTTTTATTATATTTTTATTTTTTATTATTATGCTTTAGGTTTTAGGGTACATGTGCACAACGTGCAGGTTTGTTACATATGTATACATGTGCCATGTTGGTGTGCTGCACCCATTAACGGGTCATTTAGCATTGGGTATATCTCCTAATGCTATCCCTCCCCCCTCCCCCAACACCACAACAGTCCCCGGTGTGTGATGTTCCCCTTCCTGTGTCCATGTGTTCTCATTGTTGAATTCCCACCTATGAGAGAGAACATGCGGTGTTTGTTTTTTTTTTCCCTGCGATAGTTTGCTGAGAATGGTGGTTTCCAGCTTCATCCATGTCCCTACAAAGGACATGAACTCATCCTTTTTTATGGCTGCATAGTATTCCATGGTGTATGTGTGCCACATTTTCTTAATCCAGTCTATCATTGTTGGACATTTGGATTGGGTCCAAGTCTTTGCTATTGTGAATAGTGCCGCAATAAACATACGTGTGCATGTGTCTTTATAGCAGCACGATTTATAATCCTTTGGGTATATACCCAGTAATGGGATGGCTGGGTCAAATGGTATTTGTAGTTCTAGATCCCTGAGAAATCAGAGCCCGTAGCTGGTGGTCAAGATGAGGGAGAGGCCCTCAGGGTCAGCCGAATGCCTGAGAGGCCGGACAGGCCCAAAGGTGAGCAACGTGAGCACATCAGGTGGGCTCAGAGCTGGCGCATGAGCCCCACAGCCTGCAGAGCAGCCCTGTACTCGGGAGCCCGCTCGCACCAACCCAGCGGGACTTCAGAGATGTGGGGTCCAGCCTTTCCTACTATTGCTGGGCTGAGGGCTGGGAGCTGCAGATTCTGACCCCACAGCTGCCTTAGACATGCCAGATGGTCTGGGGCAAGACACACCCCTCTCTATGAAATGAGCAGCCAGTCCAAATAGGTACATTAGAGAAGGGCTGTGGGATGGACCCAGCTGTAGCCTGGGGCTACAGGCTGGCTTCCGGGGTACTCAAGCAGCTGGCCTCTGGGGTAGCAGCCCCAGGTATGAGAGGCAGGACTCAGAATCTAGGCCAAGCCTCCATAGGAATCCCCTCTGGAGAGCCCGGGCACTCTGCAGGAGGGGCAGCAGGCAGCAGGTGCACCAGGAGCATGTTTCACAAGGTGCCCAATATCGCATCTGCTCAGATAGGCAGCGAGTTGGAAAGTGGATGCAATAGGCAGGGTGGCGGCTGCTCCCCACAGCCAGGAGTCCGGCCCAGCACCCACCTGAGTCCGCCTCAGTCCTGCTCAATTGGGTTATCCGTGCTCTTGGCCCTCTGATCCCACCCACAGAGGGAGGTCTTTGGGGCGACCAGGTGAGCTGGCCCTTGTGGGAGGATGTAACTGACTCCTGAGCCTGGCGAGCCAGGCAGCCCCTCGCCAACGTCCCCACCCCTACCTCTCCAGCCCCCCCGCATTCCCTGATCCTCCCATCCGCTCCCCTGACCCAGCAGTTGCCTCTGCTCACTCTCTTTTCCTGCTCCCAGGCTCGCCTGGTCATGTGTCCTTCACTCTCCTCTGAGTCTCCCTCTTTCCAAGCCGCCTCCACTCTACTTGACACACTCTCCCTTAAGACACCAGAGTACACAAGCGCAAGTCCCTGCACCTCACCTTTACTCCCAGACATGGGAGGGAGATGACATGAAGACCCAAACGCCACTTAGCAGGAGATCTGGGGTATGCAGAGGGGCAGAACGGAGGCTGTGGAAGCTCCAGGGGCTCCCTGCAG
The DNA here is from genome assembly GCF_000001405.40 of Homo sapiens. Classification (NCBI taxonomy): domain Eukaryota; kingdom Metazoa; phylum Chordata; class Mammalia; order Primates; family Hominidae; genus Homo; species Homo sapiens. The sequence continues at coordinate 94,392 of NT_187659.1, forward strand.
GAGGCCACATGTAAGCTGGCTATTGAATGTGGCTCTGAGCTGAGACCTCTCCTTGAAGCTCCAGACCAGGAGCCAGCTGCTAGCTGGACCCCTCCATTTGGTGCCTCAGAGAAACTTTGCACTCTCTAGGTCTAACTTTGAACCCAGAAAATTCCCCCATGTCGGCCCTGTCTCTTCACAGGGAAAGCACCACCTCAGACCCAGTTCTGCACCAAACCCACATTTGAGTCACGAGGCTCCTGCCCTGCACTGTGAGCACTCTGGATAAGCCAGTGCTGAGGGGGAAAGAGCTCTGAATGCCAAGCCAAAACATGAGCTTCAACTCCACCTCCAGCTCTGAGAGCTGTGGGTAGGGAAGGGCCCTCGTCCAGTTTGCTGTAGAAAGATCAGTCTGCCACTGTATGGCACATGGATGGCAGGGGCAGAGTGCAGGTGGAGAGAATAGAAGGTGGGCAGGGCAGGGGAGGCAGGGACATGGCTGTAGCCGTGGAGATGGGAGGACAGACAGGACTTGGTGGCCACTTGGGTGAACCAAGGGAGGAGTCAGGAAGAGACACCCAGTTTTGTATCAGATGTGTAGAGCGTGGGATGCTGTTCATTGACGGAGGGAGGAGGAGGAGGAAGAGGTATGGCATGGGGAGGAGGTAGCTGAGCTCTGTCGTGAATGTCATTTGAAGTCCCCAGGGAGAGCCAGGCCGGCCAGCCCCTTCACTGCTTCAGCCAGCTCTCAGGGTGTCTGTGCTCCCTGGCCCTCTCAGCTCCTGCTTCATAGCTGTCAGCTGCAGTGGGAGACAGCTGCACAAGGGCCCAGCATGTCTGTGTGTTTACCCAGGGGACTGCCGCATGGCCCATGCCGAGCAGAAACTGATGGACGACCTTCTGAACAAAACCTGTTACAACAACCTGATCCGCCCAGCCACCAGCTCCTCACAGCTCATCTCCATCCAGACGGCGCTCTCCCTGGCCCAGTGCATCAGCGTGGTAGGTGCAGAGGGTACCTGTGGCTCAGGCTCAGGTGAAGAGGCAGCTCATGCCCAAGCCCTAAGCAGTCAATGTCCAGAGGAATGAAATGACTAGAGTTGACTTAGACTCACCGGTACACGGTGGGGAGGCTGGAGGAGGGTCCATGAGGTTTATAGGTGTCCAGTATTTAATGAGGTCATGGTTTTGTTAACAAAGAAGAAATGAGGGTGGGAGCGAGATCACCACTGGCTAGGCAGCCAATGGGCCTGCAGAGACTCTGCTCAGCTGAGTCTCCAGCACGACCATGAGCTTCTCATCCTGATCCTCCCATCCCCACCCTACTTTTCTCCCCCAGCTTGCTCAACAGGTGACCTTACAGGCTCCCTACTCTTTGCAGGGAATAAGAACCAGACTGGGGGAACTGACGGGTACAGAGGCCCAGGTGTAGGCGCAGGACCACAGGCAGTGAAGCGTCTACTGACCCAGGCGGGTGAGGGTCTGGAGAGTGGGCATGGCTGCTGCAGGCATGGAAAGCAGGCACAGATGGCGGCACTCCCAGGGCCCATTGTCAGGGTCTCCACATGTGGACGTGTGCAGAGGTGGGGGTGCTGAGGGAGGAGGGGCAGGGAATTTCTCATCTTCTCTCTACTGCCTCTGAGTTGGAGATGTCAGAGGGAGCCATGGCCCACTGTAAAGTAACACAATGTCCCCACCCACAGGATTAGAACCCCTCCCCTGGAAGCAGCTCTGAGGGGAACAGTCACATGTAGAGAGTGCAGGGCACTGTGTCCAGCCGGGGGAAGGAGGTCACCAAGGGGGTTGACCCCCCTCTGGCCAGGTGGCTGCCTTCTGACACACCAGCCTCTGTCTCTAGCACGGTGGCCCCCACACACCCAGCCTGTGAAACCTACAGCCCTCAAGAAGGCTTTGGCCAAATTAAGGAGCGGCTCCCTCTCCCAGGAGGAAGCACAGGTGAAGGATGTGGAGGGCAGTAGAGTTGTGTGTGCTCCGCCCCCTTTCTCCACAGTCGGATGGAAAGAAGGGGGCTTTCAGCCAGGCTCGCCCAGGCTGGGGTCTGAGTGTCACTGTCCAGCTATTGGCTTCTTGCTTAATGGGTGAGCCCAGCTGCTCCCGTGCAGCTGCCGCCCTAGTGAGGGTGAACCGGCAGGCGAGTTACATTTCTGAAAGCCTGGGAATACAGTAAATATTAGGCTGTGGGCTGCTGGGCCAGGAAGAGTTGTTTATTTTTCAGGGTTTGTTTATCTATTGACTTGATGAGGGAGGGTTATAGGTACAACCAGTTTAAAGATGGAAATTTTGAGAGAGCAGGCAGGGATTTAGTGCTGGGTAAGCCTGGTCAAAGCGGCTCTTTTGGGGCGGCCAGAATCCAGTACCAATGTCCTCAGCATGTTCATCAGCTGCTGGGGGAGTGCGGGACAGCATGAAAGCACAGGAGAACTTTCTGGATGATAGAAATACTCTGTATCTTCAAAGGAGGTGGGTTCCATAGTAATGTTAAATGAGTTAAAACTCATCAAAATGTAAACCAGACCTGTGCATTTCACTAATAGAAATTATACCTCCAATTAAAAACATGTTTTAAAAGACAGATGGGCCGGATGCAGTGGCTCATACTTGTAATCCCAGCACTTTGGGAGGCTGAGGCAGGTAGATCACCTGAGTCAGGAGCTCGAGACCAGCCTGGAAAACATGGTGACATCCTGCCTCTATTAAAGGTATAAAAAAAAATTAGCCAGGCATGGTGGCACACGCTACGCGGGAAGCTGAGGCAGGAGAATTGCTTGAACCCAGGAGGCAGAGGTTACAGTGAGCAGAGATCGTGCCATTGCACTAGAGCCTGGGCAACAGCGCAAGACTCCATCTCAACAACAACAAAAAAAGGACAGATGAAGGTTTTCAACTTTCAGTAAAGGCAGAGGAGCTTGTTACAGATTCGCCTCCCCACAAGAGCAGTTAGAAAAACTGGATAAAAATGTGCCCCGCCCCCAATCAAAAACAATTGTTGGAAGGTAATTGGAGACCTCAGTCAGGACTTGAGTGACCAGGCCTAGGAGGTGATCCTGACAGTCTGTAGTGCTTTCCCACATTTGGTGATTGGTCAACAGTAGAGGGCTAAGAGGCTAAGAAACTGAGTATGAAGTGGTAGTTAAGAGGCTGGAGAGCCTAGCTGAATGTTTGGCACTCTCACAGGGCTGAAATGACCTAATGAGAATTTGGGTCCCAGGAAGGAGATGGGACCTTGGTGGGGACCCTGGAAGGGCCACCCCTGGGAGTCCAAATGAATAAAACATAGACCAGCCATCAGAAAACCTAAAACCTGCTTTGAACCAGCTTAGTCCCAAAGTAGATGAAGGCGATCTGCCCTTACTCCAATTGTGTGCCATAAACTCAAAGTCAATACTCTCTGGAGGCAGATAAAAGTTTACTATGAATGTCAAAAGACAACACAAGACTAAATGAGAAAGACCAAGAAGAAAACTAATAGAAACATACATGTAAGGAAGAAACTTTTTTTTTTGAGACGGAGTTTCGCTCTGTCACCCAGGCTTGAGTGCAGTGGCACGATCTCAGCTCACTGCAACCTCTGCCTCCCAGGTTCAAGCGATTCTCCTGCCTCAGCCTCCCAAGTAGCTGGGATTACAGGCATGCGCCACCATGCCCGGCTAATTTTTGTATTGGCCAGGCTGGTCTTGAACTCTTGACCTCAGGTCATCCATTTACCTCGGCCTCCCAAATTGCTAGGATTACAGGCGTGAGCTACCATGCCTGGCCAGTATTTTGCCACAATTTAAAATAAATAAAATTTTTTTTTCAGGTTTGTGCTCAGACTATATTCTAAACAGTCACATGGCGGCTTACTCTTCTCCAGGCCTTGCTGCCGGCTTTTACATGTTTATTGTCTTTGCCTTCTTGTCATGTGCTCATTAGATGGCAGCTTCCAGGTGCTCCTAAGGGGCCAGGAAAGAGAGTGAGAAGGCACGGAGGTTGCCAGATCATCCCCCTTGGGGCCCCGCCCTCATCAACTCCCTCAACCGGGTCTCCTGCAACTATTGGTGGGCCATCTCGGCCACCGCTTCGCCCTGAGCTTCCTGCTGCTGCAGCTGGGCAGTGCCTCCTTCTCAGAGGCCAGCTGCTGATAGGCGGCCACGTACTGCTGCAGGTGACCCAGGTAATGGTCTCGCTGCTGCTGCAGACTCAGCCTCTTGGCTCTTCAGCTCCACCTGCAGGATAGGCGTCAGGGTAGGTAGTGGCTGGCTTCCAGATTCTGGGCCCATAAACAGGGTAGTGAGGGCACTGCGGGGCTCTGTCGCCTACCCAGGCCCCTGGCCCTGGCCCCTTCCTCCAGGCCTAAATGACTGCCTCCCTTGCCTAGAGGCCCATGCCTCCCTCCCCAGCCTCAAATCTCACACCCTTCTTCCCACCATTTAAACTGTAGGCCACAGACTGGTGGAAAAGCAGAGGGAGCCAACCACCATCTGCTAAGTTGTGGTGAGGTCGTTCTGTATGATCTCCAGGGTTTGCACACACCTCCGCCTGCTCCCCCCAAGAGCTCGGCCTTCTGCCCCAGCTTCCCCAGCCTCTCCTCCAGCTCCTGCAGCCTCACCTGGTGTTCCTGCATCTTCTCCTCCTGCTGCCGCAGCCTCACTTCCTGCTCCCACATCTTCTCCTCCTGCCTCCGCATCTTCTCCTCCTGTTCTTGCATCTTCTCTTCCTGCTCACACATCTTCTCCTCCTGCTCCCACATCTTCTCTTCCTGTTCCTGCATCATCTCCTCCTGCTCTCGTATCTTCTCCTCCTGCTCCCATATCTTCTCCTCCTGCTCTCGTATCTTCTCCTTCTGCTCCCGTATCTTCTCCTCCTGCTCCCTTATCTTCTCCTCCTGCCTCCGCATCTTCTCCTGTTCTTGCATCTTCTCTTCCTGCTCCCCCATCTTCTCTTCCTGTTCCTGCATCATCTCCTCCTGCTCTCGTATCTTCTCCTCCTGCTCCCGTATCTTCTCCTCCTGCTCCCTTATCTTCTCCTCCTGCCTCCACATCTTCTCCTCCTGCTCCCGTATCTTCTCCTCCTGGTCGTGCATCTTCTCCTCCTGCCTCCACACCTTCTCCTCCTGCTTCCGTATCTTCTCCTGCTCGTGCATCTTCTCCTTTTGCCTCCATATCTCCTCCTGCTCCCTTATCTTCTCCTCCTGCCTCCACATCTCCTCCTGCTCCTGCCTCTTCTCCTCCTCCCGTATCTTCTCCTGCTCGTGAATCTTCTCCTCCTGCCTCCACATCTTTTTCTCCTGCTCCCGTATCTTCTCTTCCTGCTCCCGTATCTTCTCCTCCTGCCTCCACATCTTCGCCTCCTGCTCCTGCCTCTTCTCCTGCTCGCGTATCTTCTCCTCCTCCTGCCTCTTCTCTTCCTGCTCCCGTATCTTCTCCTGCTCGTGCATCTTCTCTTCCAGCTCCCGTATCTTCTCCTCCTTCTCCCACATCATCTCCTCCAGCCTCCGCATCTTCTCCTCCTTCTCCCACATCATCTCCTCCTGCCTCCGCATCTTCTCCTCCTTCTCCCACATCATCTCCTCCTGCCTCCGCATCTTCTCCTCCTGCTCCCGTATCTTCTCCTCCTGCTCCCGTATCTTCTCCTCCTGCTCCTGTATCTTCTCCTCCCACTCCTGTATCTTCTCCTCCTGCCTCCACATCTTCTCCTCCTGTTGCTGGTTCAGGCGGTTCCACAACTCGTTCTCTTCCACCTGGGCTTGGAGCTTTGCTGACACACTCTGCAGCTCCTTACCCAGGTGGTCAGCCTCCGCCTGCAGCTGCTGCTGGAATAGTGAAAGTGTTTTTTTGAACCTCAGAAGGAAGCAGAATCATGAGCTAGCCACATAAATGTAATCTATAGGCTGGGAGCGGTGGCTCACGCCTGTAATCCCAGCACTTTGGGAGGCCGAGGTGGGCGGATCACGAGGTCAGGAGATCGAGACCATCCTGGTTAACACAGTGAAACCCCGTCTCTACTAAAAATACAAAAAAATTAGCCGGGTGTGGTGGTGGGCACCTGTAGTCCCAGCTACTTGGGAGGCTGAGGCAGGAGAATGGCGTGAAGCCGGGGGGTGGAGCTTGCAGTGAGCCGAGATTGCGCCACTGCACTCTGGCCTGGGTGACAGAGTGAGACTACTTCTCAAATAAATAAATAAATAAATAAATAAATAAATAAATAAATGTAATCTATAAAATAATGGTTTTCATCCATGATCCTTTAAAAAAATATTTTTAAGCCCTAACTCTTGAGATTCTGATTCCCCAGGCAGGGCCCCAATTTGTACATTTTTAGTACACTCTAGAGGATTCTATGGCGGGACCAGAACAAGGACCCAAATTTTCCAGCTCTTGGCTGGAGCCTCCCCATACCCTGCATGATCCCTAGACCATGGTCCCAGCTGGATGGGTCTCCCACAACCCCCGGGGCTGCAGCTGCTCACCTGTGGCAGCAGGAGCTTGGCCCTCTCCAGTTTCCTTTTTAGCTCCTTTACGTTGAGCTGGATCTCAGACTTTTCAGATTCTACAAGTTGAAGTTTTTCTTGTAGTTTGGCATTTTTCTCCTTCAGCTCCTCATCAGTTATGCTATGGCCAGAGGCAGTAGAGAAAGGAATGAATGAAGAACATAAAAGACCACTTTGGTGATTGACCCCCTACCCTCGCCCCACAACCACAGAACCGTGGCGCTGGAAGGGACCCCAGGAATTAAAAGTCCCAGGTGGCAGGCCAGAGAGAAGACATGAGTTGCCTGAGGCTACCCCATGAGTCAGTGGCACAGCCAGCACTAGAGCTTCCGTGTGCACACATGAAAACATGTATGAGCCTCTCCCCACACTCACCTGGACCCCCCACCTCCCAGCACACCACCCATGCTAAGGGCCCCCAGACCTCCCATTCCACCTTCCCCCATCCTACGTGTTCCTGTACAGTTCCAGACTCAGGGCGTCCCTCTCCTTTGTTAACTCCTCAATGTACTGCAAATAGAGAAAGGTTAAGTCAGGATAGAGCAGGCACAGCAGTAGCTGGACGACCAGGAACAACTGCTACAGTGACTACTCCACAGTAACACTTCCTCACTCTCAATCACACCTGACGTGTTCTCAAGGCATTTCCAAGCCCATGGTCTCATTTGTTTTTCTTTCTTTCTTTCTTTCTTTTTTTTTTTTTTTTTGGCAGAGTTTCATTCTTGTTGCCCTCACTGGAGTGCAATGGCACAATCTCAGCTCACCACAACCTACACCTCCTGGGTTCAAGCAATTCTCCTGCCTCAGCTTCCCGAGTAGTTGGGATTACAGGCATGTGCCACCACACCGGGCTAATTTTGTATTTTTAGTAGAGACGGGGTTTCTTCGTGTTGGTCAGTCTAGTCTTGAACTCCTGACCGCAGGTGATCCGCCCACCTCAGCCTCCCAAAGTGCTGGCATTACAGGCGTGAGCGAGAGCACCTGGCCCTCATTTGTTTTTCAAAGAACTCAGTGGATGTGGAAGGGACAGGGAAAGAGATTGAATTTAGAGCTGGCTAACAGGGGCCCAGAGCGATCAGATAATATTGTTATTGTTATTACTGTTAGTACTACCATTGTTCGAACCTTTCTTGAGTGCTTCACCAGGCACTATGCTAACAATCCCATTTAATCCTCACAACCTCCATAGGAGACGGTTACCATTATTACCTCTATTGTGTAGATGAAAAACATGCGGTATTAAAGGTTAAGTGCTGCCTAAGATCACTTGGAGCTGGGATTTCAACACCCAGGTATATCTGATTCTCTAAGCCCATTCTTCCGCTGGAGGTAGGGGCACAGTTAAGAAGGAGGAAATTAATCCTTTGTTGAATTTTTGAAAGGATGATACGTTCGCATAGTCCAAAACTCAGAAAGTCCAGAAGGGAAATATCTCCCCCCAACACTGTGCCTCTATCCTGAGTTTTTTAATGAATCCTTACAAACGTGTTTTATGTATGTTACCATAATACGTACACACACACACATATACACCTGCCCCCTCTCTCCACACAAATAATAACATACTCAAGATACTCTTCTGTACCTTTATGGTACAAGTACCCTAACCGCCACTTAGGACTTGGCCAAGGCCACAGCCAAATATGGGCAGGGCGGGCACTTGGCCTCTGAGCTCTATGTCCAGTGCTCGCTCCTCACAGTGCTCCCCAACTCACCCACAACAGCCGACTCAGCCCCAGTCTGCCTCTAACAACCACACACAAAAGCAGCAAGAAATGGCCATGCTGCCTTCTGGGCAGGACACTCCATCCTACAGAAGGGACCTTTAGGCTCACTCCTCCATCTGCGAAGCTGGGCTCCCAAGGGACGGGGCCGTGTTTGGACTCACCCTATCCGCCTTCTTCTTCTGTGTAGCGACAGCAGAGAGAGCCTGCTCTAACTCTCCTGCAAACTTCCATGAATCATGCAGGCGGCTGATCAGATCCCTGGCCTCTCCTGGAATGAGAGACATTCAGATGTGGCCCAAAGGACTCCCCCTAAAGGCCTGTCAAAGTGCCAGGTTGAAGGATGATGGGGTGCCAGATTCCCACCTTCCAACTGCTTGACAGCATGCTGGCTGTAGTAGAGTGCCATCTGAAGCTCAGTTTTCTGACATGTAAGGATTCGTATGGTATGAACCTGGGCCTTTGGGAGAAAAGACAAGCAAATGCTGAAAGAGAAGCAAAGAAACATTCTCCAGAGGGCAGGAGGGAACTTCACACCCTCCACTCACCTCTAGCTCCCTCCTTAGGGCTTCCTGATGTTGGTGGCTTGCCTTCTGTTCCTATAGAAAGAGGAAAACAGAGCTCTTACTAGGGGGAGGCAGAGATCCACAGCAAGAGACATGCCCCCAGAATGGCACCACTGCCCCAGAACAGGCCCACCCATGGGACCAGTTTATCAGGGACCCTGTGGGGATGGGGTGGAATCTTGGGGGTGAGCCTTCTTCCCCAGGCTGGGAGTGGGTGAGATGAGGCTGGGGCCTCTACATCTGAGTGCCCCCAAACCCAGCGGTCATGTCGTGAGCAAAGAAATCACACTACTTCTTCCAGCTGAGCTCGGTTCTATTGTTTCTGTGGGGAGAGTCAAAGGAAGGTGACTGAGGGTGGCCCCCTTGACTCTATTCCCCAGGCCAGGAAGCGATAGGCAGGGGCCAGGAATGGATTTAAAAGGCACAGTTCTCAGACCCAATGGGAACATGAACTGGTCAACTCTCCTCAACTCCCAAAGAAGAAGGATTTGGGTCTTTTTGGTTTTTGCCCACAGCCACAGAACTCAAAGTCTGAAACTAGATTCTCTTGAAAAGACAGTAACAGAAACCTTCAGAGGTGGAGTGCGAGAAAAGCCCACCCTTCCGCCAGCTTGTGATTTAGAAAGGTGCATTCACTCAGCAAACGTTGAGCACATACGGGCCAGGGACGGTTCTTCACAGCGGGAATAGAGGTCAGAAAAGGCAGACAGGAGCCCTTGGCCCCGAGGTTTCCATTCTAGTGGGCCTTTAACTCTCGGGCTCTCAGAGCTAACAGAAACCTCTGATACTCTCTAACTCTACCTCAGGAAACGCAAGCCCAAGAAGGAGAGTTTACAGCAGGTCCTGGACGAGGGATTAACATAAAAACACAATGACAAATCTCATTTAAACTTCACAAACGTAAGGAAAACAATACCACTCGTATTTTACGGATGTGAAAAGAGAGGCCCAAAGAGCTCAAGCAATTTGCGCTAAATCATGTCCCTAGCAGATGGAGGGGTAGGATTCAAACCCAGAATTCTTAGCCAGTACCTGGCAGTTCTTCCACAATCTTAACAATTACCCTCCACCACCCCTTGGGCCCTCTGTCCCCAGGAGCCCGGCCAGCCAAGACTCACATCCTCAGGCGAGTGGCAACCACCAGAAGTGGTTGTCTCAGGGTTAGTGCCATTATTTATTTTCTTCTTTTTGGTGTCGCTTGCTGCTGTACCAACACTAGGGTTGGTCTGGGGATGATGGTCTGTCAACTGTGGAAAGGAAGAGCAGTGATACTCATGAGAACTACAAGCTCCTACAGTCACATCCTGCTTTACAGTTTATACTAAATACTCTTATAGACCATCTGATTTAATGCCACCAACTGTAGGAAATGTTGTCACAATCACTTAGTGACTGAGAGAGATTGATACCATGGCTGAAAAAAAAGGCAGTAATGGAACTTAAACTCAGTCTTCTGACTCTGAGCTCTGGGATTTTGCCCTAAATCAGCAGCTGCCAGGGACCAAAACCAGAGGCAGAGGTAGAAAAGCAAATATTAAGTAGGCAGGAACTGTGCACTATGTGGTTTAGGGTTATTCACCCTCACACGTCTGTTAGTGTTAAAAAGTACACCAGTACCTCTCAAACCTTTACATCAATGTCTCCTCATGGCAGAAGGCAGCCTTTCTGCTAAATCTGGGAATTTAACAGAAAGAGGACAACCCAAGCCTCATTTCAGAGAGAAGTCTTGTATACGCTTATAAATCTACGTGACTTTCATCCCTAAGTACATTAATGTTTTGCCTCTCAATAGAATCAAGGGAAACTGATGCTTCAGAAAGATGCCCCATATTTATCCTGTGGCACTCAAAGTACCCCAGGTTGAGATGAGATGAGGAAGACTCAAGCTAAGTTCAGTTTCCCAAGATCTGTTCCACAGAAGATAAGCAGATCTCACTCCAGAACCAGTGACTGAGGGGCACTCTGGTCCCAGAACAATGGAGAATTCAAATCTGAGGTGCAGAACTGAGAAAAAATGTTAAAATCTCTCTGGAGAGTAGAAGCCTGGGAGAAAACCAAACCAAACCCGTTCTCCCATTGCCACCCAGAGACACTGTCAACGTGTTGAGCTCATGGGGGAGGTGTAGGCTTTTCACACTGTCAAGGTCTGTGGTAAGGAAGTCAGGCAGCCTGAAACCTCTCTCTTCTAGGTCCCACAGTCCCCATTCCCCTTCCAGCTGGAAACCTGTGCTGCAACCAGAGGAAACAGAAGTGGGCAAGAACACTTAGGGGACTGGGTCCTAAGACCAAAGGCCGGTCTTGTGGTAGTAATGACAGTTTGTAGCGGGACTGTGACATCACTACATTCTACTCCTCGGTGGAGTGGTTGGGGGGGACACATGAGTGCAATGCCCAAGTTGCCGCTTTGAGACTGGGGAGGGGGTCACAAAATTGGGAGCCAGGTCCTTGGAGACGTGACCCCAAAGAGCCCCGGGAGGTCAGGCTTGGGGCGGCAGGAGGTGAGGGCCAATTAAGGAGCAAGGAGCTCCAGGAGTCACATCCCCAAAGTCACCCTGTGGCAACTGGTGAGGGCAGGTTCTGGGGCACCCAGGTCCTTGGAGATGTGAGCTCAAGGAGCCCAGGGAGGTCGGGTTTGGGGTAGCAGGAGGTAAGGGCGGAGTATGGAGTTGGAAGCCCCAGGAGTCACCTGCTCAAAGTCACCCTGGTGTGCCGGGCAGAGCAGGGGCAGGACTTATGAGGGGGTTGGGCTGGCTGACAAGATTTTGGTGTGGGGAGCCCAGAGGCACTGGGGTGGGGGGCCCAGCCTGGTGTCCCTCAGGAGTGGCACAGACTCTGGCAGCAGTTCGGCTGTCAGAGGGGGCCTCGGGTTGGGTTGGGGTGTTGGTGCGTTTACCTGTTCCTTGGCCTCGGCCAATTTGCTCTGTCTGGTTTCTTTGGACATCATAGGATGGGTAGGGAGGTGGGGATGGGTAGGGAGGTGGGGATGGGTAGGGAGGTGGGGATGGGTAGGGAGGTGGGGATGGGTAGGGAGGTGGGGATGGGTAGGGAGGTGGGGATGGGTAGGGAGGTGGGGTTGGGGCCACATCAGCATGATCCAGGTGAGGACAAGTATATACCTCCAGTCACCTCTACGTCGCTGTGTGACTGAGCCAGAGGAGGCGTAACCAGGGCTGCACTAGAATGCAGAATAGGGGTGTGGCCTTCATGCTTGAAGCCCATTGGTCAATGAGAAAGATGAAAGGAAAAGGAGGTGTGGCCAGACAGCAGCGTGTCATCAAGGACCTGTGTTGTCACAAGGAAAGCTGCCTATGCAACCGCTGTCCCCGCCCACTCCAGGAGAGGGGCGGGGCTGGCTTTCACTTTAAAAACTTTAAAACTTTATTACCTCAATTGAGGTACAAGTCCTATTAAAATGGAAATTTTATAGTGTGCTTGATGATTGATAAAGCAGACTTTATTATCCAACATTCCAATAAGATAATCACAATGTTTTCTCTTTTTTGGAAAAACTTTCTCTTATTCTCCTACATTAGCGTTTAGTTTTTTTAAAAAAAACAAACAAACAAGAAACATGTCTAATATCTTTAAAAATACAAAGCTTTGAGCCAGGCGTGATGGCTCATGCCTGTAATCCCAGCACTTTGGGAGGCTGGGGCGGGTGGATCACCCGAATTCAGGAGTTCAAGACCAGCCTGGCCAACATGATGAAATCCTGTCTCTACTAAAAATACAAAAGTAGCTGGGCATGGTGGCAGGTGCCTGTAATCCTAGCTACTTGGGAGGCTGAGGCAGGAGAATCCCTTGAACCTGTGAGGCAGAGGTTGCAGTGAGCCAAAATCATGCCACTGCACTTCAGCCTGGGCTGCTACAGAATGTGACTCTGTCTCTAAATACACACACACACACACACACGCACAGACACACACACACACACACACACACACACACACAAGGCTTTCCATTTAATAAGCACTCAAAGTTCTTTACAAGGTTAAAGCAAATACAGGACCCTTCTAAAGTAAGGCTAAATGCTAAGTGATGGGGGAGAGAAAAAGGACATAAATAACTCCTACTCTCATGAGTTAATCACTAAATCCGATTTTTCTAGAATCACCTGGCCTCTAAGCCCTGAAAATGAAACTGAATTTCTCACTCGATACTTGGCTATGACTTGCAATCATGAAAACCAAGAATTGTGTTATGTCACTGTGTATTGCTTGTTACCTGGGATCAAGGGTTGACTTTTTCATGATTTGCTCCATTACCTGTGTGCTTCTTCTCCCAGTCCAAACTACGCTTTTTTCTAGAGTTCTACAATTTACAGTTAGTATGTAAGGGTGGCTCTCAAACATGTAGTCTCCGGACCAGGAGCACCTGGGAACTTCTTATAAATGTAAATTCTCAGGCCCCACCCTAGACACGAATGAATCAGAAACTCTGCAGTAGGGCCCAGCAATCCGTGCTGCAATAATCCCTCCAGGTGCTCAGGAACCTCTGCCATACAGCAGGTAGAAAAATGTGTTTCCTTCTGTAGGTCCAAAGCCAGGGATACTATATGTTCTGTCTCAATATGAAACAATGACATGCAATTAAAAGACATAAATCTCCTTCCTACTTCCACCCTCCAGCCAGTGTGTTTTATTTTTATGAGTTCAATAAGAAAACGTGTGGCAATCAGAGATTTCATCTAAAAAATATATCTACAGGTATCAGTTCTCATCCAGCCTGATCTCATCCAATATCATTTCTATCCTCTTACATCTAAAGTTTTAGAAAAGGATTTTCACAACGTAAGACTCAGGCGCACTAGGAGTTCTATGATAAAAGACCAAGTAGATCTGAATGTCCAAACTTACTAGAGAAGAAAAGTGGACTCATTGGCTATATTTTCAAATTGCATTCAACAGGAAATTAAAGTTTTGAATTTTTTCCACCTTCATCCTTCCAAGTTAATAGAATTAAACCAGAATACTCCATTCTTCCAAAGCCTGTAGCCAGGCAAACTTTTACTGTATTACTTCTTGCTTTTCAATGGATATAAAGCAGAGTCCTGGTAGGCACATTTTGTATACCTGCAAAGATGCAAAACTAAACAGTTCCCTCGGTTCAATATTAAAACAAAAGTCCTGTAAACCTCAGATGGTGAGTGTAATACTTCAGCACTAGCACGAAAGCCTCAAATATAAAAAGATACCAAGAACCTTGCTAGCAAACCAAAGTAAGCTCTTGGCCGGGAGCAGTAGTTCACGCCCGTACTCCCAGCATATTGGCAAGCTAAGGTGGGGTAAGTCAGGAGTTAAAGACCAGCCTGGGCAGCATAGCGAATTCATATCTCTACAAAGAAAATTTAAAAATTAGCTGGGCTTGGCGGCACACACCTGTAGTCCTAGAGCTACTTGGGAGGCTGAGGTGGGAAAATCACTTGAGCCCAGAAGTTTGAGGCTGCAGTAGCTATGATCATGCCACTGCACTCCAGTTGGGGTGACAGAGCGAGATCTAATTATTACATTCTGTCCTGCTCCTGTTTCCACTAAAATCACTAACTTAAAATGTGTTCATTCAGCAGGATAAAAATTAAGTGAAATTTGACTTTGGTGCTTTGCTAGCAAAAAATAAATAAATAAAGTGAAGTGACAAATTACTTACTGGGAGAAGATCTTTGTAACCTCAATGACAGATTAAAGGTTTGTAGCCTTAGCCTATAAAGAAATCTTTAAAATTACTCAGAAAAAAAAATGAATGATTTGCAGCAGAAAATGGGCAATGGAGAAACCAGCACTTCCCACAAGAATAAAAATGGCCAATGAGCAAATGAAAAAGATTCAAAAGCACTAGAAATCAAAGAAAGGTAATGAAAACAATGAGATTTTCTGCTTAAAGACCAGCGAAGATGACAAATGGAAGGGGGAACCTGGAGCTCTGTCCCTGTTGGTGGGAGCATAAACTCAACCAATTTTCCTGTAGGATGATTTGAACATTTCTTTTAAAAATCCTAAAACTGTTTTATATTACTTTCCTCTAGAAATTCTACTTCTATGAATTCAGTGCAAAAATCCTGACTCGAGTCCATTAAAATATATATAGAAGGAAATCCACCTCTGGGGTGGCAATGACTCACTTAACATACATCCAGTGATGATGCCAGGGTATATTTCTCCATAGAAACATGCTTAAAATATAGTAAGTGACAAAAGACCATGTATTGTGATTCTACTTTTTAAAATGTTTACAGCATAAAAAGTGTGAAAAGCAACAAACCGGAATGTTTTGAGTGGCAAAATTAAAGATTTTTCTTTACATTTTGTCATCCAAATTATTACAAAAACAATGTGATTTCCTTTATAATCATGGAAAAGTGTTATTTTCATTTATTTATATTTACATTTCTTTTCTTTTTCTTCTTTTTTCTCCTGTATGTATCCCACATAGGCTACAGAGCTTAAATCCCTGCCTCTTGAGAGAAATCAGCCCATTTTCAGGACATGCAATACACAAAGCTGCCCCATCTTCCCTTTATTTTTATTTTTATCTTATTTATTTATTTATTTATTTATTTATTTATTTATTTATTTATGTTGAGATGGAGTCTCACTCTGTTGCCCAGGCTGGAGTGCGGTGGCGCATCTCAGCTCACTGCAACCTCCATATCCCGAGATCAAGCGATTCCCCTGCCTCAGCCTCCCGAGTACCTGGGACTATAGGCATGCACCACCATGCCCAGCTAATTTTTGTATTTTTAGTAGAGAGGAAGTTTTACCATCTTGGACAGGCTGGTCTCGAACTCCTGACCTCAAGTGATCCGTCTGCCTTGGCCTCCCAAAGTGCTGGGATTACAGGCATGAGCCACTGTGCCTGGCCTGTCATATTATTTCTAAACATTTGAGTGACATTTCAATTAAGTGAAATTTAATTCTTACTGACCTGATCTCTTATCCTCTGTTTAATGATACCTTCCAGTTGAAAGGTGTTTCCTCTGTAATCACGGGTGCCAAAGGAAATACAACATGTATTCATTAGGTGGATCCACTAAACCACGGATTCACGCATTGTAGTCCTTACACCCTCAGCATCAGAAACACGTGGGAACTTGTTAGACATGCAAATTCCTGGGCCAGCCCCACACCTCCTGAATCAGAAAGTGGGGAAGGACAGCTATCTGTGCTTTAATAAGCCTTGAGATGCTCCCTGAAGTTTGAAAACTACAGAACTAGAATACATATGGTAGTAAGTGCTCATACTTTATCCAAGGTACTAGGGACTCTTCCCCTCTTTTCCATTCTCTTTTCTGTTGAAATAAAATGAGAGCTCCTTTTGACTTAATGGGTATAAGAAAGAAGGCAATGAGATGACCAGGGTTTCAAGTTAGAGTTCAAAATTTAATCAGTGGACAGTGACAGGATGCAAGCCTTCTAAACAGATTGCTGCAAGGAAGCTGATTATAATCTATACAGTAGGTATCATTAGTGTATTGATGTTAAATTTTGGGGGTGGATTAATGGTATTGTGATTATATAGGAGAAGTCCTGGTTCCTAGAAGATATCTGCGAAAGTACTTAACAGTGAAATGCTCTGATACTGCCAACTTACTTTGAAATGATTCAGGGGGAAAAAGGGCACATATACAATCTTCCATACGCAGAAGACAGAAAACAAGTGTGACAAAACATTAACTAGTGAATCCAGTTGAATAGCATACAGATGTTCACTGTATGATTTTATCAACTTTTCTGTGTTTGCAAGTTTTCAAAATAAAAGTTGAGGGAAAGAAACATCACCCCAAATCTTTCTATGAAATGGGACCACAGAAAAAGCAGAGAAGTGAACACTTTGCAGAAAAGAGCACTGCACCCATCCGGACAGCATGGTCAAAGTGCAGGCTCTCCTCCAGGAGGCTCTTCTCTGGTCTCTTCTGTGCTGTCACTTCCCCCACATGCAGCCAAGGCTTTTTTCTAACAACTCTTTTTCTAAAGATGTAATTTTTGTCATTCATCTAAGAAAGAGAAGAAAAGAATTAGTATACATTTAGAAAATAAAATTACACTTACATTTGTGAAAAAGCAAAAAATACTTTGAAAAGTGGGGAAGCGAGAAATGTACTGTTCTACAATTCTGTTCTGTTCTTACCATCTTTTTATTCTGCCAATGACTTCCTATTCCTGCTGTGTATGGTGGGGTGAGCTGCAAATGATTTCTTTTCCTCATTGATTTAAAATGTCATGTTTATAATGTACCAAACTCCCCCAGAAGCATTTGGGTTTATTTCTGGGCTCTATTCTATTCAAGTAATCTATCTGTTCACAAGCCACTATCAATTTTGATTATTGGAGCATCCTAAAGTTAAGTAATTGTTGTTTTTGTTTTTGAGATGCAGTCTCTCACTCTGCCGCCCAGCTGGACTGCAGTGGCGTGATCTAGGCTCACTGCAAGCTCCACCTCCCGGGTTCATGGCATTCTCCTGCCTCAGCCTCCCGAGTAGCTGGGACTACAGGCACCTGCCACCACGCCTGGCTAATTTTTTGTATGTTTAGTGGAGATGGGGTTTCACCTTGTTAGCCAGGATGGTCTCGATCTCCTGACCTCGTGATCCGCCTGCCTCGGCCTCCCAAAGTGCTGGGATTACAGGCGTGAGCCACCGCGCCTGGCCCTGAATTTGCTTGAGTTTTTAGCTCTCTCACCCATTTCAGGATTGTCACCACCCATATCTGACACGTCCTCCTCCTCCTCTAAATCTTCTAAGTCCTCCTGGCCATCAGCCTCTGTTTCTGAACCAGCCTCTTCATGCTCCTGTTCTTCACTCTCTGGGAGAAGACTGATATCTTCATCTTTCTTTCACTAACCGCATTCTGGAAGCACTGTAAAATTGCTTCATTTTGCAATTCCAGTTGTTGCAAAGTCTGCTCATCATCAAAACTTTCTATCACAAGTTTTTGTAAAGAGCTGCCATGGATTCTACCATTCTCTACTGTTTTATTAAAGTCATAAAGCACTTTCGTTAAAGAAGTGAACTTTGGTTCCAATCCAGCTTGAAACCTATTGGGAGGAATTAAATGAGATTTAGAATTATAGATAATAATTTCACAGCCCTCTTAATTAAAAGAAAAATAAAAACCTCAACTCTTCTGTAAAATCAAATTTGAATAAAGTGTAAGTATAGATTCTGGCCCCAACAATATATAAGCTGATGAGCCACAATGATATATAAAACCTGTCAACCAAGTATTTGTGAATCAGCTGTATAGATTGTTGGCAGGAAAAGCATTACAAATCTATTTGCTTGGAGATGTATAGAGAATTAGCCTTAAATTTTCTACTCTGCTACATTATATACCACTCCATTCATTCATTCCCTTATTCACTCAATGATCAACATTTGCTTTGGCTTACAGTGGTCAAGGAAAACCTCTCCTAGATGTGACATCTGAGGTGAAACTTACAGACAAGTATAGTCTTATAAAGATTGGGAAACATGTATTCCAGGCAGAAGAAACAGCAAGAACAAATTCTCTAAGATGCAATTGAGCTTGGTAAGCCTGAGGAATAAAAAAGTGAGCATGGCTATAGCGTGAAGGAGGCAGAAGGTGAAGTCGGAGAGACTGATGGGAGCCAAATTCTGCAGGGCTCAAGGGTAAGAGTTTGCCGTTTTAAGTGTAATAAGAAAATGTGAGAAGATTTTAAGCAGAAGGATGAAATGATGATTTATACGAAGGAAGAAGAAAGGGAGGAAGGAGGAGGAGGAAAGTAGAGTGATTAGAAGGTTGATGCAGCATTCCAGGCAAAGGATGATGGTGATTTAAGCTGGAGTTAGAGCAGTGAATATGCTGAGTACAGTTTGGAGGTAGAACTGACAGGATTGCTAAGGAATTAGATACAGAATAGAGAAAAGTGAAGACATCAAAATAGCAGCCTAGTTTTATGTGCGAGCAACTGGAGAGACAGAACTGCCATTTACTGCGATAGGCAAGGCTTGAGTGGTGGAGCAAGGGGAAAGGACTTCAGCGGATGGCAGAGTGTAGGTGGGTAGAAACAACATTCTACTGTATTTTGGACACGGTGAATTTGTGATGCTGAGAGGACCAAAATTTAAAAAATTGTTAAAAGCCGTACGGTGCGGATATCCCAGTTGTGCGCTACTGAATTCCAACTAAGCTCAGTCTGGAGTTGCTTGTGAGCAAGGAACTCAAGGGAGAGGTTGGAGTTTGAAACATAAATGAGTCATAATTTTATAGGTCATATTTGAAGTTCTTCAACAAAATACACATAAAACGTTTGTGTTGGGAAGAGACATGAAAGTTCTAATTCTCAAGAAGCTTAGTGGGGTAGACAGACAAGTGACAAGTTTGTGCTTTCAATAAAGTATGATGGCAGGTAAACACTGAGTGCTTTAGGAGCACAGGCGGAAGGAGAAACCAACACAGTTGTGTGTAGGGGGATGGGGGCCGTAATAAGCCTCAAGGGGAGCTTATAGGCGTGAATAACTGAGGTTAGGTTGATTTCAATAACATTCAACTGAGAGATCCATACTGTAAAAGTTTTAACAATTTTTAAAATTTTGATAGCCTAGGTCCTCTGAAATGTGGGGAAAAGTGATTTACATTTCCCCTTACCTTCCCCCAGCTCCACAATTTGCCAGGGGTCTGCAACCCGTGTCCACGTGCGACCGCAGTCGCACCCGAGCCCGGGATCTGTGCACTTACGTGAGGATGCACTCGGGCCAGCCAGTGGCTTTGCCCACCTCCCTCAGACACCGCTCCAGGGTCCGTCAGCGCCAGGCCCATGGGCCATGGCTGTCTGCAACTCCCGACACAAGCTGCAAGGCAAGAGAGCCGCTGGGAAACCGCACCGCAAGGATGCTGGGATTGGAACAGGAATTAAAAGAAATGAAAAAATGTGTAAGCAAAAACTCAGCTGTATGTAAAAAAAACCCAATTCCCCCTGAGAATGAGAAAGAGCCTTAGTCCTTTAAAAAAACTACCTGTTTTCCTATGGCTAGTGAGCCTTATCGCTCCCTTCCCAGGCATTATCAAAACCCTAATTCCCTAACTGTGCAACTGCAAGGTCACTAAACAAACAAATGCAAGTCACAAAACATATTTTTCCTAAAAACGTAAAAAAAAAAAAAACATAATGCGTGCTTCAATTAAATAACTCTCTGTTTCTCGCTTCTGTAATATGCTTCCCCCTGCACAGATCTACCCGGGCTCCACAAAATGCTAAAAGATAACTCTTTATTCAGCTCAACGCTTTGATCTGCCTGGCGTGGTGGCTCACTCTTGTGATCCCAGGACTTTGGACGGCCAAGTAGGGTGGATCGCTTGTGCCTTGGAGTTCCAGACAGGCCTGGGCAACATGGTGAAACCTGGTCTTTTTGTTTTGTCTTGTTTTGAGACGGAGTTTCGCTCTTGTTGCCCAGGCTGGAATGCAGTGGCTGGGTCTCTGCTTGCCGCGACTTCCGCCTCCCGGGTTTCGGTCGTTGTCCTGCATCAGCCTCCAGAGTGGCTGGGATTGCAGGCATAAGCCACCAAGCCCGGCTAATTTTGTATTTTTTTTTTATTTTTATTTTGGTACAGATGGGGTTTCTCCCTGTTGGTCAGGCTGGTCTCAAACTCCCGACCTCAGGTGATCCACCTGCCTAGGCCTCCCGAGGTGCTAGGATTGCAGGCTTGAGCCACCGCTCCCGGCCCAACTTATTAATCAGAAAGGAATAGATCGTCCTGGTGTGGTGGCTCACGCTTGTGATCCCAGTACTTCGGATGGCCCAGCGCGGGGTATCCCTTGAGCCTAGGAGTTCCAGACCTGCCTGGGCAACATGGTGAAACCCGGTCTCTCTCTCTCTCTCTCTCTCTTTTTTTTTTTGAGGCGGAGTTTCGCTCTTGTTGCCCAGGGTGGAGTGCAGTGGCTGGGTCTCCGCTCGCAGCGACTTCTGCCTCCAGGGTTTTAGTAGTTCTCCTGCCTCAGTCTCCGGAGTGGCTGGGATTGCAGGCCTGACCAACATTGCTCTGCTAATTTTTTTTTATTTGTTTTTGGTAGAGACGGGGTTTCTCCATGCTGGGCAAGCTGATCTCAAACTCCAGACCTCAGGTTATCCGCCCACCTCGGCCTCCGGGGATGCTGGAATTGCAGGCGTGAGCCAGCGCACACACCCAATTTATTTTTATTTCATTTTTTATTTTTATATATATATACTTTTGAGACGGAGTCTCACTTTGTCACCCAGGCTGGAGTGCAGTGGTGCGCTGTCTCGGCTCACTGCAACCTCTGCCTCCCAGGTTCAAGCGATTCTCCTGCCTCAGCCGCCTGAGTAGCTGAGATTACAGGCACCCGCTAGCACACCCATCTAATTTTTTTTTTTTTTTTTTTTTTTTTTTGGATTTTTAGTAGAGATGGGTTTTCATCATGTTGGCCAGGCTGGTCTCGAACTCCGGACCTCAGGTAAACCCACCTCGGCCTCCCAAAGTGCTGGGATGACAGGAAGGATCGGCCTGGCGTGGTGGCTCACGCTTTTGATCCCAGGAGTTTGGACCGGCCGAGCGTGGCGGATCCCTTGATCCTAGGAGTTCTAGACCAGCCTGGGCAACATGGTGAAAACCGGTCTCTCTCTCTCTCTCTTTTTTTTTTTTGAGGCGTAGTTTCCCTCTTGTTGCAGGGCTGGAGTGCAGTGGTGCGGTGTCGGCTCCCCGCGGCCTCTGCCTCTGGGTTTGGGTGGTTCTCCTGCCTCAGCCTCCGAGTGACTGGGATTGCAGGCGGGAGCCACCATGCCCGGCTCTTTTTTTTTTTTTTTTTTTTTTCTGGTAGAGACAGGTCTCTCCATGTTGGTCAGGCTGGTCTCAAACTCCCGACCTCAGGTGATCCGCCCGCCACGGCCTCCCGGGGTGCTGGGACTGCAGGCGTGAGCCACCGCTCCCGGCCCAATTTATTAATCAGAAAGAAATAGATCAGCCTGGCGTGGTGGCTCACGCTTTCGATCCCAGGACTTTGGACAACCGAGCGTGGGGAATTGCTTGAGCCTAAGAGTTCCAGACCTGCCTGGGCAACATGGTGAAAATCTGTCTCTTATTATTATTATTTTTTTTTTTTTTGAGGCGGAGTTTCCTTCTTGTTGCCCAGGCTGGAGTGCAGTGGCTGGGTCTCCGCTCGCGGCAAATTCTGCATCCCGGGTTTTGGTGGTTCTCCTGCCTCAGCCTCCTGAGTAGCTGGGATTACAGGCGCCTGCCGCCACACCCGGCTAATTTTTTTTTTTGTATTTTTAGTAGAGACGGGTTTTCATCATGTTGGCCAGGCTGGTCTCAAATTCCTGACCTCCGGTGATCCACCCACCTCCGCCTCCCCAAGTGCTGGGATGACAGGCGTGATCGGCCTGGCGTGGTGGTTCACGCTTTTGATTCCAGGACTTTGGACTGGCCAAGCGTGGGGGATTGCTTGAGCCTAGGAGTTCCAGACCGGCCTGGGCAACATGGTTAAACCCAGTCTTTTTTTAAATTCCTTTATTATTATTATTATTATTATTATTTTTTTGAGACGGAGTCTCTCTGTCGCCCAGGCTGGAGTGCAGTGGCGCTATCTCGGCTCACTGCAGCCTCTGCCTCCCAGGGTCAAGGGATTCTCCTGCCTCAGCCTCCTGAGTAGCTGGGATTACAGGCGCCCACCACCACTCCCGGCTAATTTTTTTTTATTTTTTAGTAGATCGTGGTAACTGCCTTAAAATGATGATTGTTCAGAAAGTCAGTTTAATTTAGATACTAAGGATATTGAGGTTATGTAACATTTGAGCAAGTTCTAAAAAAAAAGAGAAATAGTATATTTAATTGCTAATAAAGTATTGTCAACTCACAAATATATTCACATAGCATACATTTCAAGAGCAGAATAACCATGAATATAAAAGGAATTAGCAAAAACGAAACAAAAAAGACATGAAGAAATAAAAACAGATGGAACAAATAGCACAAAATACGATGAAAGTTATAAAAGAAACTATGCCAACAATCACAATAAATGTAAATAGACTGAATAATTAAGAGAAAATGACTATAAAACAGAATTAGGGCACGCGTGGTGGCTCATGCCTGTAATCCCAGCACTTTGGGAGGATGAGGCAGGCGGAGGGATCACAAGGTCAGGAGTTCGAGAGCAGCCTGACCAACATGGTGAAACCCCATCTCTGCTAATACAAAAATTAGCCGGCGTGGTGGTGAACATCTGTAATCCCAGTTACTCAGGAGGCTGAGGCAGGAGAATCGCTTGAATCCAGGAGGCAGAGGTTGCAGTGCCGAGATCACACCATTACACTCCAGCCTGGGCAACAGAGCAAGACTCCGTATCAAAAAAAAAAAACACACAAAAAAACACAAAAAACAGAAAATAAACAGTATGAAAAGACATCTAAAACATAAAGTCACAGAAAGACTGAGAGAGATTGAAAAAAGATACACCTGTCATATGTACCTAACCCAAAGAAGGGTTGGAAGCTATATTATTATCAGATAAAATAGGCTTTGGGCAAAAAGCAATATGGGAGATTTTTTAAGGCCACAATATAATGATAAAAATTCTAATAAACCAAGGGAGAAGGTAATCTAAAATGTTAATGTATCTAATAACTAGCACTCAAAATACATGAAAGCAAAATATGACAAAATTGCAACCCTCAGAGGGCAATTTAAATACATATCTCAGTGTCTGATAAAAGAGACAAAAAACAATCAGCATAGACATAGAAGATTTACATCTCTCTAGAAAATTAACAAGCTTGACTTAATGTACAGAAAAAACATATCTCTCCAAAGTGACAGCATTCACCCCCCCAAGTACATATGTACTGAGCCATAAGGAAAATCTCAACAAATTCCAAAGAAGCGGAATCATGCACCCATCTTTCTCTCTAACCATAATCTCATTAAACTAAAAACAATAATAAAAAGATAAAGTAAAAAGCCAGAAAGGCAGATGCTAAATGAGAAAGTGACAGAAAAGTTACAGATTTTGTTAAGCATACAAAGCTTCTATGGGGTAAAGCAGTCAAAGGGATATGCAAATTTACACAGAAATCCAACCGATATAAATCCTTGAAAGATACTACATACAGATATTTCATCAGTTCTCACATGCCAAACCCAGCAAAGCCAAACTTTGGAGCCTCCCCTGCGAGCAGACCTGCCACAGGAGGAGAGGCAGCACAAACCTCCCTTTGCAGTGAAAATGCCACATTGTGTGTGCTTCTTACCCCATCACCTCTTTGGAAGTGGCCCCACTCAGCGCTAGCTGAGAATCGCTTCCCTCATACCACTCTCAGTAGTTCACCCCAAGACACACGGGACAACTCTGTACCTGGTAAGTCATTGTGAATCCAATTAATAATGGCATTCAGAAAGTTAGGAATCTTTGAATTATTAGATTCATAGTGATATTCAAAAGAAAGAAAACGACATCATTTCTGTTCCACGCATGTTGCCCACATTCACTGCGTAAAAGGCAAAGGGAACTGTGAGTACCCACAAAGAACCTGATATTGACGGCACATACATTTCTTCATTAGGAAGAATAAATTTAGACTGTAACAATTTAAAAAACCAGAAAATACAACTGTACATTTTAGTTCTTATTAAAATCCAAGAGGTTTAACTTATTTGCTCCTTGTTTAGGTAATTAGTGTCTAAAACATTTCAAAGATAACATATATAGTGGCTACGATTTCTAGTACTTTTTAAAAATTCAAGCCCAGTCTCTTCTAATTAAATGTATAAATGATTTATCTCTGTCTTTCTTAAAAAGAACCAAGAGCCCCAATTAAAAAGTAAAACTTAAATTTCCTCTTAAAAAATTGTTACGTCAAAATTATCGAATAAACCATAGTTCAGAAAATAATTTCTGAATTAAGAAAATATGAATAATAAAACCAACAGTTTATGTGCTGAATTTCACATTTTTATTTTTTATTATTTTTAAAATTTTGTTTTAAGTTCTAGGGTACATGTGCAGGAGTGTTACGTAGGGAAACGTGTGCCATGGTGGTTTGGTCCACCTATCAACTCATCACCTCAGTGTTAAGCCCAGCACGCATTAGCTATTTTTCCTGATGCTCCTCCCCCACCCGCCCTGACAGGCCCCAGTATGTGTTGTTTCCCTTCCTGTGTCCATGTGTTCTCACTGAACCTCACATTTTTAAATACAGCATATGCCAGGTGTCATTTCAGTACCCATAATTATACATAGTATAATTATACATAGTATATGTATATGTGTAAATATATGTATATGTGTACATATATGTATGTAATATGTGTATGTAAATATTATGTAAATATGTATGTATGTAAATATATATGTAAATATGTATGTGAATGTATGTAAATATATACACATGTAAATATGTATGTAAAAATATGTACGTAAATATATGTATGTAAATATATGTATATATAAATGTAAAATATGTAAATATTTGTAAATGTAAAATATGTAAATGTAAAATAAATGTAGAATGTCAAATGTAAATGTAAAATGTAAAATAAATGTAAAATGTAAATGTAAAATATGTAAATATATGTATATGTGTAAATATATATGTGTAAATATATATGTATATGTGTAAATATATATGTGTAAATATATATGTATATGTGTAATATATATGTATATGTGTAAATATATATGTATATATAACAGAGCATACAGCATATGCCAGGTGTCATTTCAGTACCCATAATTATACATAGTATAATTATACATAGTATAATTAGACTACTATGTTACCTAAAAAATGTTGATTAGATACAAATGTATAAATTTATCTTCTCTAAACGTGGAAATTCTCTAGAGGCTATTTCCAGCTTCTGTGTGGATTGTAGAGCAGGCTGCTACCTGTACCCCAAAAATGAACACCTTAAAAAAAAGACAACTTTCTCAGCCTCCCTATTGCACACACATATGAAAAATATGTTAAATTCAACGCCAAATATTCCTGAGATCAACACAGCAGTGATCCCAAAGAGAAAATTTCTCTTTGCTAATGGGCACAAACTTGAAGGGCAAAGCAGTGGAAGGGTAAGTCTGCAGACTCGCGTGGGGCTCAAGTCAGAATCACGTGGAAGATCATTGCCACATGTTTTTGTTTTTTTAAATAGCAAACACCACCAAGTGGAGCCCGCCGGGTTTAGTAGATATTAAACCTCTAAGGAGTGGCACATCCGAGACTGAAATTCCCATCTTTTGATTCCCAGCTCAAGGTCTCTGAAATGCCAGCACCAGCTGTGAAATTGTTCTTCTGCATTTTCATGGAGACCTTTTCTTCTATACTGCCATACTCTTTTTTTTGGAACAGTTATACCTGATCTTCCTATTTTTGTGTGTGTTCCACCGAAACTTTTTCACTCTAAATACTTCCCTCTTTCCAACTGAGCATTTACATCTGTAACAAGGACAAAAACATCTAACATCTCTCTCACCCTTGGTTTGTGTTTTGTTTTGTTTGTTTTTGAGACAGGGTCTTGCTCTGTCACCCAGGCTGGAGTGCAGTGGCGTGATCACCGTTCACTGCAGCCTCGAGCTCCTGAGCTGAAGCAATTTTCCCACCTCAACCTCTGAGTAGCTGAGACTATAGGTGTGTGCCACCACGCCTGGCTAATATGTGTATTTTTTGTAGAGATGAGTTTTTGCCATGTTGCCCAGGCTGGTATTGAACTCCTGGCTTAAGTGATCCTCCTGCCTAGGCTTCCCAAAGTGCTGGGAGGAATTACAGGTATGAGCCACCGTGCCTGGCCTCACCATTGTTAAAATTATGGAAATCGTGTTTGCAAAGCAGGTTGGCCTGTTTGGAAAAGGGTGTCATAATTTCTCAGGTAACTCCAAAAAGAGAAAGCTACGAAAATTACCTTAATACATTCATTACAGTCTCAGTATAAGATTATAGCTTCCTCTCCCAAAGCGTAACCACAACCTGACGCAGGATGAGTTGGTTTGAAAATACCGCATACAATATCCTCTTGAGTAGAATCATAATTTAGAACTCTAAAAATGACCGGAAACAAAACTGTCCAAGTTTGTTTAACGTAATGTGTTTCAACTTATTTGACTAGAAAACCCTTCATTCGTGCAACACTTATAAATATCCCATGGCAAATCTAGTTTTCTATGAATAATGAACGAAACATTTATAATTTAAAACTAAAATTGTCTTCTAAGCAGAGATCTACGTATCAATAAAATGAAGAAATAAAATTTCCATACTGTTTTCTTCCCAATACAAGGATTAGAAGGAAAGGGAAAAGAGTAACAGCGAGAATCAATAGCCCATGTCTGGCCAGGCTCCATGGCTCAATCACACCTGTAATCCCAGCAATTTCAGAAGCTGAGGCGGGAGG
The DNA here is from genome assembly GCF_000001405.40 of Homo sapiens. Lineage (NCBI taxonomy): Eukaryota > Metazoa > Chordata > Mammalia > Primates > Hominidae > Homo > Homo sapiens. The sequence continues at coordinate 121,507 of NT_187659.1, forward strand.
ATCACTGGCCTTTAGTGATCCTTGAATGAAACTCCATCTCTAAAAAATTAAAAATATTAGCTTAGAGAATCATTTGGGCCCAGGAGTTTGAGGCTGTATTGAACTATGACTATGCTACTGCATTCCAGCCTGGGCAACAGGCTGCTTAAACCTGGAGGGGCAGAGCTTGCAGTGAGCCGAGATCACGCCACTGCACTCCAGCCTGGGCAAAGGAGCCAGACTCCGTGGCAAAAAAAAAAAAAAAAAAAGAGATTCTATTCACAATAGCAACAAAACCCTGAGAATATATCTAGCAAAGTATACACAGGCCTTTCATGAAGAGTATTGCCATAGCCTGAATGTGTCTCCCAAAATTCATGTATTAAAACTTAATTCCCAAGATGATAGTACTAAGAAGTGGGGCCTTTAAGAAGTGATTAAGACATAAGGGTGAGCCCTCATGCATGAGATTAGTGCCTTCCTTATAAAAGGGCTTGTGGGTGGTGGTAAATCTGTCCCTTCTGCCTCATGAGAACATAGCATTTGCCTGCTCCAGAGGAAGCAGCATTCAACGTACCATCTTGGAAGCAGAGACCAGGCCCTCACTAGACACTGTGTCTGCTGGAGTCTTGATCTTGTTCTTCCCAACCTCCAGAACTGAGAAAATAAACTTCTGCTCTGTGTAAATTACCCAGTCTCAGGTGTTTTGTTATGGCACTATGAAGGGACTAAGACAAATATAAAAATTACCCAGGGACTTAAAGGGAGAACTGACTAAACTGAAATATATGCCATATATATTATGAATCGTAGGACTCAATGCTATAAACATACTACTTCTCAACAAATTAATCTATAAATTCAAGAAATTCCTACACAAATCCCAATAGAATTTTTTTGTGGAACTCGAGAGGCTGATCCTAAAATTCATACAGTCACTTGAGGGGCCAAGAATAGTGTAACAGGGCTGGCGGGGCTGGTGGCTCACACCTGTAGTCCCAGTACTTTGGGAAGTCAAGACTGGAGGATGGTTTGAACCCAGGAGTTCAAGACCAGCCTAGGCAACATAGCAAGATGTTGTCTCAAAATATTAAAAATAAATAAATAAATAAATAAAAAGAAGGTTAAGTATGCACATTTTGTTGTGAATTTCAATTTTATAGTGATTTTTTTTTTTTTGAGACAGGGTCTTGCTCTGTCACCCAGGCTGGAGTGCAGTGGTGCCATCTTGGTTCACTGCAACCTCTGCCTGGGCTCAAGCAATCCTCCCGCCTCACTCTCTGGAGTAGCTGGGACCACAGTTATGTGCCACCACACCTGACTAATTTTTATATATTTTTTTTGTAGAGACGGGGTTTTTCCATGTTGCCCAGGTTGTTCTCAAACTCATCCACCTGCCTTGGCCTCCGCAAGTGAGATCACAGACATGGGCCACTGTGCCCGGTCTAGTGCGCTTTTTTTTTTTTTTTTTTAACCAAACAAACGATGAAGTCTCAGGAGTAAAAGTTGATACACAAGTAAATTTTATTGGTAATGTTTTTGTGTGGTCTTTAAGCAGAGGGAAAATTAGTCTGCATTATGGTGTATCCAGACTAAATAACTGATATTAAAATGAAATTATCCTTAGGATTTGCAATCTTAGAGAAAACTTTTTCATTTTTTTTGAGTTACAAATTATCTTCACTTACATTTGAGAACAGTGAGTCACAGAGGGATTAAGTATCTTACTCAAGATCTTGCAAGTGTTTGGTTTGAACCCAATCTTTTCACTCTGCAGAACTCAGAGTCACTCTTATTTGGAAACTTTTTAACTGATGTGGATCCTCTAATATGGGCTTCCTATTATTCATTCCGTATTAGTCAGAAGTTTTGCAAGCAGGCAGAATTCATTTTGCCAATTACGGGATTTTCCCTCAGTTGCAGTCAAGGTTCATAAAACTATAACTATAAATTTTGTTTTTGAGACAAAGTCTTGCTCTGTTGCTCAGACTGGGATCCAGTGGCACAGTAACAGCCCATTGCAGCTTTGAACTCCTGGGCTCAAGGGATCCTCCGCCTCAGCCTCCCAAGTATCTGGGACTACAAGTGCATGCCATCATCCCTGGCTAATTTTGTTTAAAAAAAAAAATTGTAGAGATAGGGTCTTGCTTCGTTGCCCAGGCTGGTCTCAAACTCCTGGCCTCAAGCAAGCCTTCAGCCTTGGTCTCCCAAAGTGCTGAGATTACAGGTGTCAGCCATTGCACCTGGCCAAAACTGTAACTATATATACACACACACATAACTACATATATATGTGTGTGTGTATGTATGTGTGTGTGTATATATATTTTTATATATAAATAGATATATCTGAAAGGCATCAAAAGAAAAAAGCTGTAACTTTTAGTCTTGATCTTGATAGTGACTTGATTAGGCTATCTGTTTAACATCAAAGATGCAAATTAATGCTTTCTTTGGGTGAGCATATTAAAAATGCAGAAAATATTGGAGTAGTTTTTTATGTTAAATAAATTGTATTCTGTGTATTTAAGGTATACAACATGATTTTGTGGGATGCATATAGATGGTTAAAAAAATTACTACAGTGAAGCAAATTAACGTATCCTTCAACTCAGATAGTTACCCGTTTTCTTTTTGTTTGGTGGCAAGAGGAGCTTAAAATCTCATTTAGCGTGAATCCCAATACAGCACAATTTTATTACCTATATTTCTCGCGTTGTACATTATATTTCTAGGCTTGTTCATCCTACATATCTGCTACTGTGTAACCTCTAAGCTATGTCCACCCATTTTCTCTCTTGCCCCCCAAGTAATTTCCTAAAGTGTCTCATATAAAAAGGCAGTAGCTTTCAGCTTAAACTTTTTCTCTGTATATATTTAAGTCAATTTCTTTGAGGTATGTTTTTCTCTCCAGAATAGTTAGATGTAGGCATACCACTTTAATGTTGACACTAGTTCACCTAGAACTTATCTTCTGCAAATCTGTCTCTATGTCCATCTCTGTCTCCATCTTTGTCTCTATCTTTATCTCTGTCTATCTATCTATCCATCCATCCATCCATCCATCCATCTATCTATCTATCCATCTATCTGTCTATCTAACTAAAGCAAATTCATGCCCTTCTCCTATTTATGGAATCGAGACCATAAACAGAGGTGAGGGAAAGAATTTGGCAGGAATTGCGATGTGTATTACCTGTGGCATAAGGAAACTTTACAGAACTAGGGTCAAAAGTATACTTTCTAGTTCTTTCCCATGGCTTTTCACTTTGATGTAGTCCTTATCAGGCAACTGAGGTTTTATATAAGTCCCCTGATTCTTAGAACATGAAGGTGTAGTATTCAAGTTTGGTCCCTTGAAAGCACAATTTTTGTTAAAAAAATTTAAGAAAATTGTATGATTTCCTCAGCAAATACATATTGATCATCTGTTATACAGCCATGAGAAGTGGTTCTGTTGAACACGTTTATTTTATCAGATCCCAATTCTAAACCAGGCATAGAATGGAAACCATGAAGGTAGGATGAAATAACTTCTGAATGTTTGAAAATAGTGTACTTAAAAATAAATATCAGGTGTTTTTGTTTTGTTTTTTGTTTTTTGTTTTTGAGACAGGGTCTCACTCTGTCACCCAGGCTGGAGTGTGATGGTGCCATCTCACCTCATTGCAGCCTTGACCTCCCAGGCTCGGGTGATCTCCCACCTCAGCCTCCCAAGTAGCTGGGACTACAGGCACATGCCACCATGCCCAGCTAATTTTTTGTATTTTTTGTAGAGACAGGGTTTCACCATGTTGCCCAGGCTGGTCTAGAACTCCTGGGCTTAAGCGATCTTCCCACCTCAGCCTCCCAAAGTGCCAGGATTACAGGCATGAGCCACCATGCCTGGCTGAAAATACCAGGTTTTTAAGTATCAGCACTGCCTCTTCAATCTTTTCTATTACTATGTTGTGCTCAGTGGTATTTTTTATTGAATTAGAGCAGTGCTGTTCAATGGAACCTTCTTTGAGGATGGAAATCTTTTATGTCTCTGCTGTGTGGGTATGGTATTAGCTGGGTATGGGGCACCTGCCTATAGTCCCAGCTACTCAAGAGGCTGAGGTGGGAGGATCACTTGAGCCCAGGAGGCCGAGTCTGCAGGTTCGTACCACTGCAATTCAGCCTGTGTGACAGAATGAGACTCAGTCGCAGAATAAAATGAAATAAGGAAATAAAAATGTAATTGTTGAAATAAGAAACTAGTGGATGGATTAGACACGAGAAGAAAGAATTAATTGTTTAGGCGATTCTCTCCAAAAAGTAAGTCAGCATGTCACACAGAGAGACATGAGGATAGATGATAGGGCAGAAGTTGGTGGGCTTGGAGGGGAGAGGAAGATCAGAATGAGGTCCAAAATGTGTCTTAGTGAAATCCCAGGAGGAGATATTAAAATTATATTAGAAAGTGAAAGAAATAGAAGTTTTATTTATTTATTTATTTATTTATTTTGAGAAGGAGTCTCGCTCTGTAGCCCAGGCTCGAGTGCAGTGGCACGATCTGAGCTCACTGCAAGCTCCACCTCCTGGGTTCACGCCATTCTCCTGCCTCAGCTTCCCAAGTAGCTGGGACTACAGGCACCCACCACCACGCCTGGCTAATTTTTTGTATTTTTAGTAGAGATGTGGTTTCACCTTTTTAGTCAGGATGGTCTCAATCTCCTGACCTCATGATCCACCAGCCTCAGGCTCCTAAAGTGCTGGAATTATACGCATAAGCCACTGCACCCGGCCCAAAAGCTTTGTGTTTTTACAAATATTACACATGTTTCTTGTTTAAGAAAAAAAGTCTTCACAATAACGTAGGAGAATAAGAGAAACATTTTTCCAAAAAAGAGAAGTCATTGTGATTATTTTATCTTATTGGAATGTTGGATAATACAGTCTGCTTCAGTAATCATCAAGCATGCTATGGATTTTCCATTTTCATAGGATCTGTATCTCGGTTAAGGTAATACTGGTAATTTTTGTACTCTATGAAAAATATAGGCCAAAATCATAGACCTTGCATAGAAGCTGGATCATGAAGACAGCTCTGGAGGAACACACAGGTACACACACACAGACACACATATATATAAAGTATACACATATATATTTTTTAAAAGCTTTTAAAGCAAAAGCCGGCCCTGCCCCTCTCCCAGAGTTGGCGGCCTCTCCCCTCTCTTAGAGTGGGTGGGGACAGTGGTTGCATGGGCAGCTTTCCTTGTGAGCCAAAGGTCCCTCTGGACACATGATGCCTGGCCACGCCCCCTTTCCCTTTCATCTTTCTCATTAACCAATGGGCTTGGAGCATTAAGGCCACGCCCCTATTCTGCCTTCTACTGCATCCCTGGTTACGCCTCCTCTGGCTCAGTCGCACAGCTACCTGGTAGGTGACTGGAGGTGTTGATCAGTGCTTGGTGGGATTTTGCTGATGTGGCCCCAAGCCCGCCTCCCTCCCCACCCTGCAATGGCAGAAGAAACTCGACAAAGTAAATTGGCAGCAGCCAAGAGAAAGGTAAAAACACACCAGGTCACGGACCCCCAACCCAGCCATAGATCCTCTCCAACGACAAGACTGCTGCCAGAGTCCATACCAATCCCGAGGTTCACCGGACTGGGACCCCCACACCGGTGCCTCTGGGCTACCCCCACCAAAGTTTTGCCAGTCAGCCCCACCCCTTCAGCAAGCAGCCCAGTCTCTGCCCTCACCAATCACCCCAGGGTGACTTTGGGCAGGTGAATCCTGGGGCTCCCCGCTCCTTTACTGGGCCCTCATCTCCTGCCACCCCAAGCTTGACCTCCCAGGGCTTTTTGGGCTCACATCTCCAAGGACCTGGGTCCCACAGCCCCAGACCCCACCCTCACCAGTCATCCCTGGGTGACTTTAGGCTGGTGAATCCTGGGGCTCCCTGCTGCTGACTCTTCCCTTCCCTCCTGCTGCCTCAAGGTGGACCTCCCTAGGCTGTGTGCACTGGCGTCTCCAAGGACCTGGGTCCCAGCTCTGTTTTTCCCTCCCCTATCATGGAGCGGTGACTCGGACATCATGCTGATGTGGTCCCTCCCCCTCACCAGGAAGAGTGGAATGTAGTGATGTCATGGTCCATCCAGTAACTGTCATTACTGCGAGACTGGCCTTTGATCTTATGACCCAGTCCCCTAAGCATTGCCACCCCATTTCTGGTTCCTCTTGTCACAGCACAAATTTCCAGCTGGAAGGGGAATGGAGATTGGGACCTAGGAGCAAGAGGTTTCAGGCTGCCTCACTCCCTTAACACAAACATTGACAGCGGGAAAAGCCTACACTTCCCCTGTGAGCTCAAAACATTGACAGTACCTCTGGATGGCAACTGGAGAATGGGTTTGACTTGGTTTGGTTTTCTCCCAGGCTTCTACTTTCCAGAGAGATTTTAACAAATTTTTTGTGAGTTCTCCACCTCACATTCTAATTCTCCATGGTTCTGGGACCAGACTGCCCTTCAGTCAGTGGTCTGTGAAGTGAGATTTGCTCATCTTCTGTGGAATAGATCTTGGGAAACTGAACTTGACAGCTTGAATCTTCCTCATATTATGTAAACCTGGGGTACTTTGAGTGCCACAGGATACATATGGGACATCTTTCTGAAGCATCAGTTTCCATTGATTCTCTTGAGATCAAGAGAAAAAACATTAATGTACTTAGGGATGACAGTCACATAGGTTTCTAAGAGTATACCAGACCTCTCTCTGAAATGAGGCTTGGGTTGTCCTCTTTCTGATAAATTCCCAGATTTAACAGAAAGGCTGCCTTCTGCCATGAGGATACATTGATATAAGAGTTTGAGAGGTACTGGTGCACTTCTTCACACTAACAGACGTGTGAGGATGTATGACTCTAAACCACATGGCATACAGTTCCTGCCTACTTAATGTTTACTTTTCTACCTCTGCCTCTGGTTTTGGTCCCTGGCAGCTGCTGATTCTTGGTAATACCCCAGAGTTTGGAGTCAGAAGACTGAGTTTCAAAGTTCGTCTGTCGCCTTTTTCTTTTCTTCTTTTTTTTTCTAGCCATGATATCAATCTCTTTGAGTCACTAAATGATTGTGACAACACCTTGTACAGTTGTTGGTGTCATTAAATCAGATGGTGTATAAGAGTATTTTATAAAAACTGTAAAGGAGGATGTGGCTGCAGGGGCTGATAGTTCTCATGAGTATTACTGCTCTTGTTTCTGACAGTTAAAAGAATATTGGCAGAGAAACAGCCCTGGTGTTCCAGCAGGAGCCAAGAGGAACAGGAAAACAAATGGCAGCATCCATGAGACAGCCACTTCTGGTGGTTGCCACTCACCTGGAGATGTGAGTCTTGGCTGACTAGGTTCCTGGGGACAGGGGACCCAAGGGGCACTAGAGGGTAATTGTTAAGATTGTGGATGGACTGTTGGGTACCTGTGAAGAATTCTGGGTTTGAATCCTGCCTCTTTGTCTGCTAGGGATATGAATTAGGGCAAGTTGCTTGACCTCATCGGGCCTCTCTTTTCACATCTGTATAATAGAGGTGGTATTGTTTCACTTCCATTTGTGAAGTTTAAATGAGATTTGTTATTGTTGTTTTTATGTTAATCCCTAGTACATGGCCTGCTGTAAACACCCAGAACACCCAGGATATGGTCATTGCTGTTCGATTTTCCTCATCCCCAGTCTCAAGGGGAAGCCAGGACAATGAGAACAGTCACTTGGCACAGGAGTCACTGAAAGGGCCGCAGGGTGCTGTGGTGGGGAGATAAGAACCATGAGAGAAGTTGGCACAAAGGAGTTATGGGACAAAGGGTCCAAGATAGGCAGAAAAGAAAATTGTGCCAGTTGATGGGGAAGAAAAGAAGTCAGAGGGCTTAGATACTGAGTGGGACAGAACATCTTCATGTGCACTCTCATCTCTTGTAGTCAGCAACAGGTATCCACGGGGAGAGCCCTACATCATCTGCTACCCTGAAGGATCTGGAGGTAAGAGGCTCTGGGCAGAGGTGCAGTGACCCTGCAGGGCAGCCCTCCAACCTCCTCCTCCAGGTGGGACGGGGTGCCCCTCTGCCAGCTGAGACAGTCCACACACACCCCAGCCCTAATGATTGCTCTCTCTACCTCTCCCCCCACTCCTCCTCCACCTCCTCCTCTCTGCATGCGCCTCAGAGCCCGTGCCAAGAACTAGCAGTAGTCCCAGACTCGAGGTCCGTAAAAGTCAGTCAACTGAAGAACACCATCAAATCTTTGGTAAGAGTCCACTGGGGTCCCCTGATTCCACGCTGCCAATCCTGGGCTCTAGTTTCCCCTTGGGGCCCTGAAGAAAGGGGACGGCGGCCCCTGGTGCCAAGGGCGAATAGGGAGCTGGGGCGCCCAGGCCTCACCTGGAGGGACCCCGGAGCATGCAGCATGGCTCTTTTTTTGCTGCCCTGTTTGCTGACTCTCCCCTCTCCAGACGTCCCTGCTCGAGTCCTTGCTACACACGCCCTGGGATTGTTGCCTCTTGGGGAAGTGCTAGCCTGACTGGTTGTCAGGGGCCCTGTATTTCTGCCATGACTCAGTCCCTAATTTGCTCTTTGATTCTGGACAAGCCACCTCTCCTTTTTGGGCTCGTGTTTCCAGAGGAAGTAGTGAGTATCATAGGTCTCTGTTAGCTCTGAGAGTCTGAGATTTAAAGGCCTCCTAGAATGGAAACCTCAGGGCCAAAGGCTCCTGTCTGTCCTTTTCCGCCCTAAATCTGCTGTGAAGAACCGTACTTGGCCCGTACGTGCTCAGTAAATGTTTATTGAATGAATGCACTTTTCTAAATCACAAGCTGGCAGAAGGGGGGGCCTTTCTCAAACTCCATCTCTAGAGGTTTATGTTACTGTCCTGTCAAGAGATTCCAGATTCAGACCTTGAGTTCTGTGGCTGTGGACAAAAGCCAACAAAGACCCAAATCCTCTGTCCTTGGGAGCTTGAGGAGAGTTTACCAGTTCGTGTTCCCACTGGGTCTGAGAACTTTGCCTTTAAAATCCATTCCTGGTCCCTGCCTACCACTTCCTGCTCTGGGGAATAGAGTTGAGGGGGCCACCCTCCATCACCTTAATGTGACTCTCCCCACAGAAACAACAGAAGAAACAAGTGGAACATCAGCTGGAAGAAGTAACATGATTTCTTTGTTTGCTCGCGACATGACTGCTCGGTTTGGGGGACACTCAGATGTAGAGGCCCCGAGTCTCGTCTCACCCACTCCCAGCCTGGGGAAGAAGGCTCACCCCCCAGAGTCCACCCCATCCCCCACAGGGTCCCTGATAACCCGGTCCCATGGGTGGGCCTGTCCCGGGGCAGGGGCAGTGGTGGCATTCTGGGGACATGTCTCTTGCAGTACCATCTCTGCCTCCGCCTGGTTAGATCTCTGTCTTCCACTTCCTACAGGAAAAGAAAGCAAACAACGAGAAACAGAAAGCCGAAAGGGAGCTAGAGGTGAGTGGACGGTGTGCAGTTTTCTCCTGTCCTCCGGAGAATGTTTCTTTCCTTCTCTTTCAGCACTTGCTTGGCTTTTCTCCCAAAGGTTCAAATCCAGAGATTGAACATACAGAAAGGGAAACTAAATACGGACCTGTACCACACGAAACATTCTCTCAGATACTTTGAAGGTGGGAATCTGGGTACCCTGTCATCCTTCAACCTGGGACTTTGACAGGTCTTCAGGGGGAGTCCTTTGGGCCCCATCTCAACTCTCTCATTACAGAAGAGTCCAAGGATCTGGCCGTCCGTCTGCAACATTCATTGCAGCGTAAAGGAGAGTTAGAGCGGGCTCTCTCTGCTGTCACCGCCACACAGAAGAAGAAGGCGGAGAGGGTGAGTCCAACCACCTGCCCCGTCCCCTGGTAGCCTGGCTTCACAGACAGAGGAGTGAGCCTAAAGGTCCCTTCTGCAGGATGGAGTGTCCTGCCCAGAAGGCAGCATGGCCATTTCTCACTGCTTTTTTGTATGGTTGTTAGCGGCAGCTTGGGACTGAGTCAGCTGCTGTGGGTGAGTTGGGGGGCACTCTGGGGAGAGAACACAGGACGTAGAGCTTGGAGGCCAAGTGCCTGCCATGCCTTTACCTGGCTGTGGTCTTGGCCAAGTCCTAAGTGGGGTATTGGCTACTTGTACTGTGAAGGTACAGAAGAGTACCTTTAGTATGTTACCATTTCTGTAGAGAGAGGAAACGTGTGTGTGTGTGTACATATTATGATAATATACATAAAATATGTTTGCAAGTGTTCATAAAAACTCAGGAGAGAGCAACAGGGTGGCTGGGAGATACTTCCCTTCTGTACCTTCTGAGTCTGGGACTATGTGAATGTATTATCCTTTCAAAAAGTGAACAAAAGATTAATTTTCCCCTTCCTAGCTGTGCCCCCACCCCCAGCAAGAAAAATGGGCTTAGAGAATTGGATAGATCTGGGTGTTTAAATCCCAGCTCTGCCTAAGTGATCTTAGGCAAGCACTTAACCTCAAATACTCCATGTTTTTTCATCTACACAATAGAGGTCATCATAGTAACTGTCTCCCATGGTGGTTGCGAGGATTAAATGGGATTGCTAGCATGGTATCTGGTGAAGCACTCCATAAAAGTTCAAACAGTGGTAATAATAACAGTAATAACAATAGCAATATTATCTGATCTCTCTGGGCCTCTGTTAGCCAGCTATAAATTCGATCTCTTTCCCTGTCCCTTCCAACTTTACTGAGTTCTTTAAAAACCAAACCACGGGCTTGGAAATGCCTTGATCTTTACTGACCGAGTTGTATATTGGGCCTAGCCCTGGCCCTTTTAAGGGGCACTGTGTGGAATGGCCCGGCCTCCCCAGATTGAAACTTCTCACTCTTCAGCAGTTCTCCAGCCGCAGTAAAGCACGTATGGAGTGGAAGTTAGAGCAGTCCATGCGGGAGCAGGCACTGCTGAAAGCGCAGCTGACACAGGTGAGGTGTTCAGAGGGAGGGATGTGGAAGGAAGATGACCCCAGGTAACCAGGAGCAGGTGAGGACCAGTGACAGCCCTTCCTAATTTCTGTGCCCATTCTTGCAGTTGAAGGAGTCACTTAAAGAAGTCCAGCTAGAGAGGGATGAATATGCTGAACATCTAAAAGGAGAGAGGGCCCGGTGGCAGCAGAGGATGAGAAAAATGTCGCAGGAGGTGAGATCTGACCCTTCAGCCCCCCCCACATTAGATAGGTCACTGGATCTTTCTGGGCACCTGTAAAATGGGAATAGTACAGCCAGAGGTGGTCATGGGTCTGGGCTTTGTGGAGGTGGGGGCAGAGAGAGAGATGGTAGCATGTCCAGCCTCCAGCCCCTCTCTCCAGGGCCCTTTCCCCCTGTGCTTTGGGCAGGTTTGCTCGTTGAAGAAGGAGAAGAAGCATGATAAATATCGGGTAGAGAAGCTGGAGAGGAGCTTGTCCAAACTCAAAAACCAGATGGGTAAGATGGGGCTGGCGTGACCTGGCAGCAGGACTGGCATCAGAGGGCTGTGAGGGTGTCTTGGAGTGCCCCAGCGAGGTGGGTGGATGGAAGGGCTTTGAGGCAGAGGGAAAGAGGTCTGTGCCAGGAGACGGCAAGTCTTGTCATCTCAATGAGCCTCAGTGTCCCCATCAGCAAAGAGGGCCCGTTGTCAGCCACCCGCAGTGCTCTTTCTCTGAAAGTGCTTTGGAAGACTGGCTACCCATCTGGGTGCGAGGAATCATTAGCAGTGAGGCTAAGTTTGAGGAGCCGGAGAGGAGCTGTGCGCCAAGAGGAGGGTTTTTTCTTTTCTTTTCTTTTCTTTTTTTTTTGGAATCCAGAGGCTCTTATTATCTGCTTCCTTTCTCAGCTGAACCTCTGCCCCCGGAGCCCCCAGCAGTGCCCTCTGAGGTGGAGCTGCAGCACCTGAGGAAGGAACTAGAGAGAGTGGCAGGAGCGCTCCAGGCCCAGGTGGAGTACAATCAGCGCATAAGTCTCCTGAATGAGGGGCAAAAGGAGAGGCTTCGGGAGCAGGAGGAGAGGCTTCAGGAGCAGCAGGAGAGGCTTCCAGAGCAGGAGGAGAGGCTTCGGCAGCTGGCCGAGCCACAGAACAGCTTCAAGGAGCTGGTGCGTTGCCCCAGCTGGGGAGCCTGCCCTCCTCCCTAGCCCTCCAGGCCTTTGTTTCCCCACCTATAAAATGGGGCAGTGTAGCCCTCAAGTGAAATGTTACTCCTAAAGGCACCTGTGAGCCAGAGCCCTGCTCTGGTGGCTGTGGGAGACAGGGGATGATTTTTCTAACCTGCCTCCACCCTTCCCGGTGCCATGGGAGGCAGTCACCAAGTTCTGGGGTCTCCAGCTGCAGTGGGTGGCTGCTGATTGCTTCTCTCTGTCCAGAACAATGAGAACAAGAGCGTACTACAGTTGGAGCAGCAAGTAAAGGAGCTGCAGGAGAAGCTAGGCAAGGTGAAGGAGACGGTAACCTCCACCCCATCCAAGAAGGTCTGGGAGGTGGGCACCAGCCTCTGGGGAGGGGAGGTGCCAGGCCAGAGGCAGCTCCAGCCCGGGGGCAGGTGACCCCAGCACCCTCCAGGGCAGTCCTGTGGCTGTTTCTTGCTTCCTGCCCTCTGATTTTAGAGGTGGGTAGCCCTGGGCTCCTCCCAGGTCTGGACATCATCATTCCAGCTAGAGACATGGAGCACCCCCAATCACAGGGGAAGAGACAGAGTGGTATAACAGTCTTCTTATGCCAGACGCGGTGGCTTACGCCTATAGTGCCAACACTTTGGGAGGCTGAGGCAGGAGAATCACTTGAGGTTTGGAGTTTGAGATCAGCCTGGCCAACATGGTAAAACCTCATCTCTACTAAAATTACAAAAACAAAAAACAAAAAAAGAAAGAAAAATTAGTGGGGCATGGTGGTGGCGCATGCCTGTAATCCCACCTACTCAGGAGGCTGAGGCACGAGAATTGCTTGAGCCCAGGAGGTGGAGGTTGCAGTGAGCTGAGATTGCACCACTGCACTCCGGCCTGGGCCACAGAGTGACACTCTGTCTCAAAACAAAACAAAAAGACTCCTTAGATTAAAACTGGATTCCAGCCTCAGTTCCACTGGTCACCATTCAAGTACTTCACATCTCTAAGTCTCTGTTTCTTTAACTTCAAAAGGAAGTTAGCATTTTCCTTACAGAGGTGCTGAGGATTAAATGAGATAATACATGGGAAGCATTAGGCCTGTAGCACATTTAGCAGATGGTGGTTGGCTCCCACTACTTTTCTACCATTCTGTGGCCTACAGTTGAAATGGTGGGAAGAGGACATGAGATTTGAGGCTGGGGAAGGAGGCATGGGGTTCTAGGAAAGGGAGGCAGTCACTTAGGCCTGGAGTAAGGGGCCAGGGGCCTGGGCAGGCGACAGAGCCCCACAGTGCCCTCGCTACCCTATTAATGGGCCCAGAATCTGGAAACCAGCCACCACGTGCCCTCACACCCAGGGTCTTCCTGCAGGTGGAGCTGAAGAGCCAAGAGGCTCAGAGTCTGCAGCAGCAGCCAGACCATTACCTGGGTCACCTGCAGCAGTACGTGGCCACCTATCAGCAGCAGGTGGCCGCCTATCAGCAGCTGACCTGTGAGAAGGAGGCGCTGTACAGGCAGTGACTGCAGCAGACCCAGCTAATGAACCAGCTGCAGCAGCAGGAAGCTTGGGGCAAAGCGGTGGCCGAGATGGCCTGCCAAAAGTTGCAGGAGGCCCAGGGGAGGGAGCTGCCGAGGATGGGGCCGTGAGGGGGACGACCTGGCAAACTCTGTGCCTTCTCACTCTTTCCTGGCCCCTTAGGAGCGTCTGGAAGCTGCCAGCCAGCAGAAACAGCAGCTAACGGCCCAGTTGAGCCTCATGGCTCTCCCTGGGGAAGGTACGGGAGACCGCTCAGAGGAAGAGGAGAGAGCCCCAGGAGGAAGGGGGGACTGCTAGCAGCATAGGATTGAGGAGTTGGAAGAGACCTTTAGAACAGCTGGTCATTATACTAACCGGGTGCCTGCACTAAGTTCAGCATCAATATGGTGACCTCCTGTGAGCGGGGGGCCACCAAGTTGCCTAAGGATGGCTGAACTGGCCGAGGTCAGAAAGGGAGCAGGTCAGAACTCCCGCACCGACCAGTAGTGGGAATGTGCCTGGGCAGTATAGCAAGATCTTGGTTCTTCAAAGTAAAAATAAATAACAGCAGCTCATTCCTCTCTGGGGAGGGCCTGGCTCAGGGTTACACAATGAGGGTGGAGGCAGAGGTGGGCCCACAATACTTCCCTTGTTGAGTTGTCTGAAGACCCCTCTGGCCACCCCCCACAGGACACGGAGGAGAACATCTGGACAGTGAGGGGGAGGAGGCACCTCGGCCCATGCCGAGTGTCCCAGAGGACCTGGAGAGCAGGGAGGCCATGGTGAGCCTGACTCCCCCTGCACCCATTTTGCCACCTTTCTCTGTGGTCCCTCCAAGACCCCTTTATGCTCTTCGTTTCCCTGCCTTCTGATTTCTCTGGACCCTCACCCCTTCCGAGAGCCAGTGGTCAGACACCATTTCACCTGTGACCAACATGTGCAGTCTCTGGGGCCCCAAGGGAAGGGGCTGCGCTCCACCTCTCTGCCCCATTTCTTCTGTGTATGCCCCTAGAAGAATGCTCACATCTTGCCCTCAGGTGGCATTTTTCAAGTCCGCTGGAGCTAGTGCCCAGGAGAAGCAGGCACAGTTACAAGAGCAGGTGAAAGAGCAGAGGGTGTGCTGCCAGCGCCTGGCTCACCCGGTGGCCTCGGCCCAGAAGGAGCCAGAGGCAGCGGTCCCAGCCCCAGGGCCTGGGGGCGAGTCTGTGAGTGGGGAGACCCACCGGGCCCTGCAGGAAGTCATGGAGAAGCTGGCCCATGCCGGAACTCACCTCCGCCTTCTCCATGACTTGAAAATGCCACCTGAGGGCAGGTCGCTGGCGAGATGTGACCCCATTATTTTGGCTCCAGAGCGGCTTTATGGACCACCTGGAGGAGAAGGCAGACCTGAGTGAGCTGGTGGAGAAAGAAGAACTTGGATTCTTCCAGTACTACAGAGAGGGATGCCATCAGTGAGTGGGAGGCCAGGGCATGGCAGGGGGAGCTGCAGGGCTGTTGGAGGGGCCCCAGCGTCTGAGCCCTGTCCTCCCGCAGGAAAGTTTATCACCCTATAACAAAGCCAGGGGGCAGTGCCAAAGATGCAGCACCGGGAGGAGGACACCATCAGGCTGGCCCTGGACAGGGAGGAGATGAAGGTAGAGTGTGCAACATCTCTGCGGGGGTGGGGGTGGCTGTGACGGTGAGCGCTGGCAGCAGCGTGACAGCTGAGCACCCCTCCCTCCAGGTGAAGCTGCTGGAGCTGCAGGAGATGGTGTTGCAGCTGGTGGCGACTACAAGGGACACAGCAAATTCTTGGTGACTGCCCAGAACCCTGCTCATGAGCCCAGTCCAGGAGCCCCAGCCCCCCAGGAGCTTGGGGCTGCCCACAAGCATGGTGGTGAGTAGAGCCCTCAGGCGGGGTGGGCAGGCAGGAGCAGGGGGGCTCTCACTGAGCTCAGATCCCCGCCTCCCTCTCTCCAAAGATCTTTGTGAGGTGAGCCTCACTGACAGCGTGGAGCCTGTGCAAGGAGAGGCCAGGGAGGGTTCTCCCCACGACAACCCTACTGCACAGCCGATCGTGCAGGACCACCAGGAGCACCCAGGCTTGGGCAGCAACTGCTGTGTGCCATTCTTTTGCTGGGCTTGGCTGCCAAGAAGAAGGAGATAAACATGACCATCGTCAAAGAGCTGCTCAAGAAATTTTTAAAAAAGAAACAAAGTTATGGGGTTAATCTCCTACACAATTCATTTACTTCGTTTGAATGTTATAGCCACTTATGATTATTTGTGTTTCTAATTTATAGTTTAAGTTTATTTGTAAATAGTTAAAAGAGAGTGGGTCTCTGTGGCTTTCACTGATGTTCACTCTGGCATACTTTCGCAATTTTCTTTTTCAATTTCATGATTGTAGGTCATTAGCATGCATATTGAGTTTGCCCTTACGTGGTGGGAGTTCAAACACACAAAGACCCACTATTTGCACAAAACTATTCTTGCTGGTTTGGAATAGGCTGCCATGTGTTTTTAATGTTATTGAAGCATGTATATTCATTACAGAATTCAGATAAAATTTGCCTATGTTCTGCTATTGTTTGATCTAATCTTAATCACAGTGAGCTCTTCATTAGCACAATATGTGGTTTGCCCCAAGTTTGCACTATTTAATACTTTGTAATATGCCACCAAGAGTACTGACATTTAGAGTTGTTTAAAGGCCGAGAACTGGAAACAGCCTTTCCCTCATTTTCTGTGTATTGGTGATGGGAGTAATAACATTTTGGGGGAGCTTTTTAAATTTCACAGAAGAGGAAAGTTGCCTGCTCTGGCAGGTATGTGCAAGATAGAGTGTGTTTCATTTGTTCTGTTGCCAAGAATTAGTGCTGTACTATTGTAGTTCCTTTAGGATTTGTATGTGCTCTGGGCTCATGAAGATATTGCATCATGAGCTGCAGCAGTTGTACTCTTTTTTGATGACCTAAAAAGGGCTTATTTCTGAGGAATGAAAGGTTCCCATCATTGACTATGGATGTGGAAAACCTTTCCTAGCTTAGAGCATTTGTATCTATATTTTAAAGTCAGAGTTCATGTTACCTGTTTTAATCACATGACTGCATGTCCCAGTACACAAAAGGGCACTGGTTGGCATTCTTCTTAATGTATTTAGTAAAGATCAGAAGAAATCCTTTAAGAGTTTAAATGTCCCTGGAACACGCATACAGGCTCTAGTCAAGAATGAATTAGAGTGAAGGAAAGCTGTGTGACACCTGGCATTCCTCTGTTCATGGAGCTTCTTTGAGGCTTGAAGATTGATTTTACCATCTAGACCACTCTGCCTATTCTTCAACCACCTTGGTTACTTTGACATAGGAATTGACTTCTTTTCCTTGAATGGAAAACACTTTGAAATAATAATAAACATTGTTATAAACTAATATATGTGAGAGTGCTTAGTTGAAACAAAAAGGAGTTTTAGTAGACAGTATTATACTATCTTTGAAAATCAAGGAGAAGTTTATGCAACTTAAAATGTGTACAAACTGCAGTGCAATCTACTGTTGGTGAATGTCAGTGTATTATCAGGAAACATGTCTATACAATCACAGAGTTATATTTCCTCACAAACTTCTTTGTGAAGAGTGAAATGTGTTTCTGTACCTCTGGGTTTCACTTACGGGCATATTTTGTGCAGTATTTATGTGATTGTGCCTATGCATGATGAATGAATGAATTTCAGTTGTACATTGCCTAAATCATAACTTGATGATGCTTGGGAAAGACTCAACAGTTAAAACTTCATGAAGTTCTAATGTCTGTGTTCCAAAACACATCACATTATTAGGATGTAGGGAGATATGTATGTGTGCTCCCTGGGGTGGGGATTTCTAGTTACTAGACCATCTCCATTTTTAGCAGTTGGCATCCTCATGATACTTTTATAAATACGACATTAACAGGAGAGCAGCAGTACGATTTTGCCGATGGAATAACAGATTTGCCGGCAATCACTGAAAGAGTGCAAATATCGGGTCCTTGTGACTTCAACGGACTCTTCCAAATTGTATGAATGTATCAATGTATTAGATAAACCCAGTTTCAGAATGATAAAGAAAAAATGTTAGACCAAATAATGCGGCTAGTTAACAGTGGTACGATTTCTAGCCCGTGGCTTTAAAATGCACTTAAAGTCCTGTCCTTGCCTTTTATTTTCTGAACTTGATGTTTTTGCATTCTTTGAGTTCAGTTTAAAGACAACTACGAGCATCTGTAACCAATCTGACAATAATGTGTTCATCAGGTGCCTATGGATTAAATCACATACTGGCATATTTAAGCTGAATGTCAATCTGGAAAATAAATTGACTGTATTAACAGAAATACCACTCTTTGTGTAGATATTTGTCGTATATTTAAGAAAAAGCTAAAAAGAATGGAAATCGCATGACTATAACTTAAGTCTTTCTTCAAAGTGCATTGCAGTCTTTTGCGATACCTCATTCAGCCAAGTATTGGTATTCTTCCTCATTCGGTATAAGGCAGCTTTCAATTTGCTTAGAAGGCAACATTGGAAGGTTAGAGTTCATCAGAAACAGAATTCTAAAATGTGAGTTCAATTCAATAAATTTGAATTTCTGTAGGAAGAATCAAATCACCGATTTAAAGAGTGCAATATATAATAATCATTTTTAAAGTATTGGATTAAATCTGATAGGTTTTCCAGAAATGAACAAAAATCAGCTCTAAAACCAAAGCTGATTTTTAGAAAATTTGAAAATGTAAATCAGCCCTATCCATACTATAGTTTCTCTAAAACTTTATCTGAAAGAGTCATTTTAAAATAACTATTAAACAATGTAACTGCTATCTTAATGTTCTGAAATAAGTTAAAACATTTTAAAATATGAATACTGTAAAGGAAATAAATGGTGGGAAGGAAAAGTAGAGAAAGAAATGCCAATTCCAGTCCAAAGCTTTATTTGCCAAGTTTTCTTAGAATGAATTTTACCAATTTATGAATTCTTGTAAGCGGAATGTAAAACGGAAATACTGAAAGACTTTTGCCTAAAGTGGCATTATTGACTGCTGGTGTGATGCTACTGTAATGTAATAAATTATTAAGTTGTTGCAAAGTGCTGTTTTTGCCTTAAAATTTTATTCTGTGTGTCTTGAAAAATATAGTATTAAAGGTATTGATACTGTGCAAATGCTGAGCATGCTTGGCATGAGATAATGTTTCATTTTTACAAAATTGTAATATAACTATGCAAGGGTTTATTAAAAGAACACAAAATAAAAAAGTTATGGGATTAACAAAAGTTATGGGGTGAAAAAGTTATGGGATAAAAAATGTAAAAAAGTTGTGGCAAAAAAATCTTGTGACCAAAAAGTAGAAGAAAGTTTTATGAAAAGTTACCAAAAAAAGTTATGAAAAAGAAGTTATGGGATTTAAAAAAAAAGGCATGGGATAAAAATAAAAATAAAAATTAAAAGCAGGCCCCTGTCAGCAAAGCCTGGAGAAGTGGGGCTGGGGTCTCTCCACCACCACACTGTCCCTATCTCCCCTTCCCAGTCACCCCTTTACAATTAGGGTAGCAAGACAAGACCACTGTCTAACGAGGAAAGACAAACAGACCCTTTGCCACCTTGACCAGAGCTGAGTCCTTAAATTTCTGGATGATATTGTTATTTAAGAGCCAGAGGCTGGTGGAGTTGGTTTGTTTGGAGGAGGCCTCATGGCCTCCTTACTCTCACCATAGCAACTTTTCCCTCAGTGGGGGCTCCAATCTTCTTATTCAGAGAGGTAGCTGAGGCAGGACAGTGGGGCTAACTGTGGACCAGGCGAAGGCATGGGCTGCTGGGGTGGCCCCCCTTCCCCGGTGTATATATTGTGTCTGTGTAAGGTTTTGTATATTCCAGAGGGTAGGGCCACCCCTGTATCATACCTAGCGGTGGTTGGAGGTGGCACATGGGGAGGAGGTTCTAATAATTATTTGTGGCTGGGAAACTTACTTATTGCTAGCATAGGACAGAGGAAGAAGGCAGGGATGGGGTCATGGCTTCCCAGTGGTGTGATCACAGTTCACTGCAACCTCCAACTCTCATGCTCAAGTGATCCTCCCACCTCAGCCTCCCAGGTAGCTGGGAGTATAAGCATGCACTACTATGCCTGGCTAATTTTTAAATTTTTTGTAGAGAAAAGGTCTTGCTATGTTGCCCATGCTGGTCTTGAACTCCTGGGCTCAAGCGATTCTCCCATCTTGGCCTCCCAAAGCACTGGGGTTACAGGCATGAGACATTGCTCCTGTCCATAAGATTTTCTCTTTATTACTGTTTTGTTGTTGGTGGTGGTGTTTTGTTTTGTTTTTATTTTTTGACAGAGTCTCGGTCTGTTGCCTAAGCTGGAGTGCAGTGGTGCAATCTCTGCTCACTGCAACCTCCGCCTCCTGGTTCAAGCAATTCTTATGCCTCAGCCTCCCGAGTACCTGGGGTTATAGGCATAAGCCACTGCGCCTGGCTAATTTTTGGATTTTTAGTAGAGACAGAGTTTTGCCATGTTGGCCAGATTGGTCTTGAACTCCTGGCCTTAAGCAATCCGCCCTCCTCAGCCTCCCAAAGTGCTGGGATTACAGGTGTGAGCCACTGCTCCTGGCTAAGATCCCATCTCTATTTAAATAAAAAAAGAAAATTCAGAATCTATGGAACACAGAACACCAAAGGCCAGTTATTTACCTCTCTGAGGTAATCTGTGTAAACAATTTGATATATATCCTTTCAAGTTCATACTTGCTATGCATACATATATATACACACATACATTGACATATTCCCCCTTCCCTGCTGTCATGCTATTAGTCTACTTTTTTTTGTAGAAATTGGACCAACTCTATGTTCTTTGCTGGCCCGTATTTCTCCTATTCAGTGATGTGTTATGAATATCTGTTTAAGTCAATGTATGCAACTCTTTAATATCATTTTAAAAGGTTACGACATACGATCATATGAAGGCATTAGAATTTATTCCAACAGTTCCCTTTTGCACATTTAATAATTTCCATTGATTTGCCAGGAAGAACATTCTCGTGTCATGGCTAAATCCTTTTGTATGGACATCCTTAATTATTCCCTTAAGATAAACTTTTAAATAAAGTTGCTAGATTAGTCTCGTTTCTTAAGTTCCTTTTTGGTAGTTTATATGTAACACTGTAGTTTTATATGTACTTACAAATACCTATAGTGCCAGTAGAAAATGGGATAAAATTAAACTCTTTCACATATGCCAAATACATTTTGATTTAGCGCTTTATTAACTGCATGATTACAGTCTCTGTATCTTTTGATTTACCTTTCTATCTTTACAATTTTCAGCCGAGACACTTAGCGGTCACATAATAAATTAAGGTTTTCTTTTTTTAATAATCTCCATCTTTCTAAATATGGTGAGTCACAGTCAGCTATTTTTGGATTGTTGAAAGCTGTGACTGTTCTAAATCGGAGCCCAGAAATCATGCCACTTACCAAATATGCTTTGTCTTCCAACATCAGAGTGTCTGGTAGAAGGTGACTGTTCTTGGAATTTAAAAAATCTGAACAGGACAAGACAAGAATCTGGACACTTTTTCTGTTTCTGATAATATGATTGAGTAGGTAGACATGCTGGATAATCCTTGCAAAGACATACTTGAACTTCCCCCAAAAAAAAATAAAATCCAGAATCTCTAAGAATGAAGATGGAGTGAAAATCAGAAGGGCTGCTGAGAGAATAATGGGGAAGCAGCCCCAGTTATCAAGGGACATGTCCATGTGTTCAATAGAAAGTTTCAGATGTAAAAAAAAGTTGAGAAAAATAATATATATATTATATATAATAAATGATATAATTGCCCTACATATACACATCATCAACAATTTTTCATTCATGGTATGGACAGTTTTTTTTTTTTTTTGGTTGTTTTTTGTTTGTTTGTTTGTTTTTAAAGGTGGGATTTTGCTGTGGTTGCCCAGGCTGGAGTGCAGTGGCATGATCTTGGCTCACTGCAACTTCCACCTCCCAGGTTCAAGCGATTCTCCTGCCTCAGCTTCCCGAGTAGCTGGGATTACAGGCACCCGGCACCACATCCGGCTAATTGTTGTATTTTTAGTAGAGATGGTGTTTCACCACGTTGGCCAGGCTGGTCTTGAACTCCTGACCTCAGGTGATCCACCTGCCTCGGTCTCCCAAAGTGCTGAGACTACAGGCGTGAGCCACCACACCTGGCCACAGCCAGTTTTGTTTCATTTATATTCCCACTTCATTTATATACATTCCTTCTTCCTCTGAATGATTTTGAAGTAAAACCTATACATCCTATCATTTTTAATTACCTTATATGTATCTGTAGAAGACAAGGAATTCTTAAAAATAAATATATTCACAATGCCATTAAATATCAAAAAATTAATATTCTGAAAATAGCCACAAATCCAGAGTTGACATTTTGTTGACTTTCTCATAGGTGACTTTTTTTCTAGTTTATCTATTTCAATCAGATAACTGTTTGCTCATATTTACATTCCTTACTGAACAATGTCTAAACTTAAACTGACATAAAATGGAGATGATCTTCTAACCAGATGCTTAGTGTAAGAAAAAACTTCAAACTGCAAGAGGAGTCCCTCCAAATACAGAAAGGACCAGTATTTTAAGAGGTATGTTAACTAAAATGTGGCAATGTAAGGAGCAAAGCAGGAAGAACCTTTAAGTCCTCAACTTACAAGTCAATTTCATAGTCAGTTTCCCTGGTCCTTCCACAACAACCTCCCCCATCTGTTTTCTCTACAATGGAGGTAACAATAGTAGCTATTCCAGAGCAGGAAAAGGCTTAGAGCAGTGCTAGAAGAGGGTCGTGGCTATATAAAGTTTAGCTATTTGTGTATTGTAACAAACCACCTTTTTTTTTTTTTGTCAATAATAGATTTCTTTTGTAAAAGTAGCAGCCTCCTGTCTGGGGACAACTGCAGTTCCACTAAGTGAACATTGGTGTCTGCTAACCTTTGCCTCTATTTCTCTCAATATACTGTGAAGCTGTTCCTGGATTTAGCAATTTTATATACTTCTTTTTCTTTATTATTCTTTTTTTCCTTTCCCTTTTCCTGAGACACAGTCCTGCTCTATCACCCAGTCTGGACTGCAGCAGCGCCATCATGGCTCACTGCCACCTCCACCCCGGGCTCAAGCAATCCTCCTGCATCAGCCTTCAGGGTAGCTGGGAGTACCCAGGGGGGCCCACCAGGTCTGGCTAATCTTTGTGGTTTTTGTTTTGTTTTTCCGTTAAGGGACTGGGTTTCCGGCCAGGCACAGTGACTCACGCCTGCAATCGCACCACCCCTGGAGGCCGAGGCCGGCGGATCTCCCCAGGTGAGGAGCAGGAGACCAGCCCGACCAACATGGAGAAACCCCATCTCAACCTAAATAAATAAATAAATAAATAAATAAATAAATAAATAAAAGTAGCCAGGCTTGGTGGCTCACGCCCTTGATCCCAGCCACTCAGGAGGCTGAAGCAGGAGAATCACCCAAACCCGGGAGGCGGAGGCCCGGCGAGCCGAGACCGCGCCACTGCACTCCAGCCTGGGCAACAAGAGGGAAACTCCGTCTCAGAAAAAAAAAAAACAGGTTTCACCATGTTGCCCAAGCGGGTCTGGATCTCCTAGGCTCAAGCGATTTGCCACACTCAGCCGTCCAAAATCCTAGGATCACAAGCGTGAGCCATGACGCCAGGCCGATCTATTCCTGTCTGATTAAAAATTGGGCCGGTTGCGGTGGTTCACGCCTGCGATCCCAGCACCCCGGGAGGCTGAGGCGGGCGGATAACCTGAGGTCAGATTGAGGCCAGCCTGAGTAACATGGAGAAACCCCATCTCTACCAAAAAAAAAAAAAAAAAAAAAAAAAAATTAGCAGGGCATGGTGGCTCACGCTTGCAATCCCAGCCACTCGGGAGGCTGAGCCAGGAGAACCACCCAAACCCGGGAGGCTGAGGCTGCGGGGAGCTGAGACCCTGCCACTGCACTCCAGCCTGGGCAACAAGAGTGAAACTCCCTCTCAAAAAAAAAAAAAGAGAGAGAGAGAGAGAGACTGAGTTTCACCATGTTGCCCAGGCCGGCGTGTAACTCCTAGGCTCAAGCGATCCGCAGCGCTCGGCCATCGGAAGTCCTGGGATCACAAGCATGAGCCGCCACGCCAGGCCCATCTGTTCCTTTCTCATTAATAAATTGCGCCCGGCGCGGTGGCTCCCTCCTGCAACCCCACCACCCTGGGAGGCCGAGGCGGGCGGATCACCTGAGGTCGGGAGTTTGAGACCAGCCTGACCAACATGGAGAAACCCGTCTCTACCAAAAAAGAAAAAAAAATAAGCTGGGCATGGTGGCTCACGCCTGCAATCCCACCACCCCGGGAGGTCGAAGCAGACGGGTAATCTGAGGTCAGGAGTTTGAGACTACCCTGACGAAGGGAGAAACCCCGTCTATACCAAAAAAAAAAAAAAAAAAAAAAATACAAAAAGAGCTGGGCATGTTGGCTCATGCCTGCAATCTCAGCTACTTGGTAAGCTGAGGCAGGAGAACCACCCAAATCCGGGAAGCGGAGGCTGCGGGGAGCTGAGACCGCGCCACTGCACTCCAACCGGGCAACAAGAGTGAAACTGCCGCAAAAAAAAAAAAAAAAAAAAAAAAAAAAAAGAGAGAGCGGGTTTCACCGTGTTGCCCCGGCCTGTCTGGAATTCCTAGGCTCAAGGGATCCCCGGCCCTATTCCTTTCTGATTTATAGATTAGGCCTTGCGCGCTGGCTCACGCTTGCAATCCCAGCACCTCCGGACGCCGAGGCGGGCGGATAACCTGAGGTGGGAAGTTTGAGACCAGCCTTATGAACATGGAGAAACCCCATCTCCAACAATAAAAACAAAAACAAACAAAAAACAAAATGAGCTGGGCATGGTGGCTCACGCGTGCAATCCCAGCCACTCGGGAGGCTGTGGCAGGAGAACCACCCAAACCCTGGAGGCGGAGGCCCGTTGAGCCAAGACCTCACCACTGCACTCCAGGCTGGGCAACAAGAGCGAATCTCCGCCTCAAAACAAACAAAAAGTGACCAGGTTTCACCATGTTACCCAGGCAGGTCTGGAACTCCTAGGCTCAAGTGATCCGCCGCGCTTGCCGTCCAAATTCCTGGGATCACAAGCGTGAGCCACCATGCCAGGCCGATCTAGTCCTTTATGATTAATAAACTGGACCGGGCGCGCTGGCTCACGCCTGCAATCCCAGCATCCCCAGAGGCCGAGGAGGTGGGCAGATAACCTGAGGTCGGGAGTTTGAGACCAGCCTGATGAATATGGAGAAACCCTGCCTGTACCCCCCCCGCCAAAAAAAAGAGAGACCGGGTTTCACCATGTTGCCCAAGCCGGTGTGGAACTCCTAGGCTCAAGTGATCCCCAGCGCTCGGCCGTCCGACGTCCTGGGATCACAAGCGTGAACCACCACGCCAGGCTGATTTATTTTTTTCTGATTAATCAATTGGGCCTTGCGCGCTGGCTCACGCCTGCAATCCCAGCATCCCCGGAAGCCAAGGCAGGCGGATAACCTGAGGTCCTGAGTTTGAGACCAGCCTGACCAACAGGGAGAAACCCTGTGTGTACCAAAAGAAAAAAAAAAAGAAAATTAGCCGGGCATGGTGGCTCACACCTGCAATCTCAGCCACTAGGGAGGCTGAGGCAGGAGAACCACCCAAACCCAAGAGGTGGAGGTGGCAGGGAGCCGAGACTGCACCACTGCACTCCAGCCTGGGCAACAAGAGCAAAACTCTGCCTCCAAAAAAACAAAAAAAAGAGAGAGACCGAGTTCCACCATGTTGCCCAGGCCAGTCTGGATCTCCTAGGCTCAAGTGATCCCCAGTGCTCCATCATCCAAAGTCCCTGGATCACAAGCGTGAGCCACCACGCCAGGCCGATCTATTCCTCTCTGATTAATAAATTAGGCGGGGTGCAGTGGCTCACACCTGCAGTCCTGTAGAGGGATTTTTAAGGAATTAGATAGACTCATGGGGTTTAGGAGGACATTTATTAATTATTTAGGTGCACCGGCCCAGTCGGATTAACATTTAAAGGATTGAGCACTGAACCAAGAGTTACCTTTCAAGCATTATGTGGGGCGAAGGGGGAGATCTGTGCAGGGAGAAGTATATTATAGAAGCGAGAAACAAAGATTGTTATTTAATTGAAACATGCATTATATTATTTTTTACTATTTAAGGAAAAATATGTTTTGTGACTTGAGTTTATTTGTTTAGTGACCTTGTAGTTGCACAGTTAAGGAATTAGTCGGGCATGGTGGCTCACACCGCAATCCCAGCCACTCGGGAGGCTTTGGCAGGAGAACCACCCAAACCCCGGAGACGGAGGTCTGGCAAGCTGAGACCTCGCCACTGCACTCCAGCCTGGACAGCAAGAGCAAATTTCCCCCTAAAAAAAAATATATATGACTGGGTTTCACCATGTTGTCCAGGCCGGTCTGGAACTCCTAGGCTCAAGCAATCTGGCTCTGGATGTCTTTAACTTGTGATTGAAAGCGTATTAAGATGTTGGGTGTATCAACAGTCCGGAGGACAAGAAGGAAAATCCTGGCATGTGAAATATTCTGCAACAAGAAAAGCAATCGGAGAGGTGACTACATTCACTGCAGCTGTTTTGCCCTCTTCTTCCCCACCCCCCACCCCCCACCCCCCCCCCGTCTCTTTCCTGGAAGTTCCCTAGTAAGAAGTAAAAGAGATAATGGCTTTCGAGTGCATGTTTTTCCTGGAATTGGAAGGAATTTTAACAAAGGAGCCCTTCACAATGAAACCCCCCCACACCCCTGCTTTTCACCTGAAGTAGGACAAGATCGTCGCCCCCACCATCATTCTCCACGTGACCCCAGGTGGGGATGGGTAGTGGACACTACTGATAAGCTCTTAGCAATTTCCCTATTTGTGGACTCTGAAGCTCCTTAGCTTGACAACTGATGCATAAGTTTTCTTTTGTGGGATAAGAATAGGAGAATAGGTGACCTTTTCCCCCTGAATTCCCATCCTGGGGCCAGGGAAGAGAGCCCAGGATCCCTTCTCTTGGCCTTCACACTGTGGGAAAGAGTACCTAGAGTTAAAAGCCTGATAAATGCCCTCGAACAGCTTTGAAAATCACAAGGTCAGGAGATCGAGGCCATCCTGCCTAACACGGTCAAACCCGTCTCTACTAAAAAAAAAAAAAAAAAAAAATTGGCTTATGCCTGCAATTTTAACACTTTGGGAGGCAGAGGTGGGAGGATCATTTTACCTAGGAGTTTGAGACCAGCCTGGGCAACATAGTGAGATCTTGTCTCTACAAAAACAGTTTTAAATTAGTCAGGCGTGGTGGTGCATACCTGTAGCCCCAGCTACTTAGGAGGCTGGGGCAGGAGAATCCTGCTGCTGCATTTTGTGCTACTTTTAAAAATATTTGGTAAAATTCAGGAGTAAAGCCGTCGGGTCTTGGGCTTTTCTTTCCCGGGAAACTTTTTTTTATTTTTTGAGAGGGCGTCTCGCTCTGTCGCCCAGGCTGGAGTGCAGTGGCCTGATCTCGACTCACTGCAGGCTCCGCCCCTCAGGTTCACGCCATTCTCCTACCTCAGCCTCCTGAGTAGCTGGGACTAGAGGCACCCGCCACCATGCCCAGCTAATTTTTTTTTTTTTTTTGTATTTTTTTTAGTAGAGACGGGGTTTGACCGTGTTAGCCAGGATGGTCTCCATCTCCTGACCTCGTGATCCGCCCGCCTCGGCTTCCCAAAGTGCTGGGATTACACGCGTGAGCCACTGCACCCGGCTTTTCCTGGGAAAATTGTTTCCGTCTCACTACTTATTGGTCTTTTCAGGTTTTGGATTTCTTTGTGGTTCATTCTTGCTAGGTTGTATGTATCTAGGAAAGTATCCATTTATTCTAGATTTTCTAATTTATTGGTCTATAGTTGCTCATACTAGCCTCTAATGATCCTTAGAATTTCTACAGTATCAATGAAAATGTCCCCGTTTTCATCTTGATTTTATTTATTTAGGGTTTTTTGTTTTTTTTTTAGTGTGGCTAAAGGTTACTGGTTTGGTTTATCTTTTTTAAAAAACGAACTTTTCGTTTTGTTCATATTTTGTATTTTTTCATTTCAATTTCATTAATTTTTGCTCTTATCTTTATTCTTTCCTTTCTTCTATACTTATTTTGGGTCTGGTTTATTCTTGCTTTTCTAGTTCTTTTAAGATGTATCGGCGCCACGGGCCCCGCAGAGCCAGGGCGGCTCCTGCCGGTAGCCTGTGTGTGGGCCCCGGCCAGCCGCGCCCCCAGTCCATATCGCCCTTCACTGCCCCGAGGCTGGCGCGGCTATGGGGCGCGGGGCCGGCGCTGCTCTGGGGCGTTGGAGCCGCGCGCCGCTGGAGGAGCTGCTGCCGGGGCGGGGGTCTGGGCGGCTCGGGGGGCCACGCGGGCCTCGGACGGCTCCCGGGGCTGTGGGCTTGGGCCCGGCAGCTGCAGGTGCGGGGCTCTTGCCGGCCGGGCGCTCCTCGGCTCCCGCGCGCCGGGTTCCCGGGCGGTCCCACCGCCACTGCCTGGGCAGGGGAGGAGGCCTGGCGGAGCGGGCGGGCGGCGCCTTCCCGGGACGACCAGCGGCTACGACCCATGGCGCCCGGACTCTCGGAGGCCGGGAAGCTCCTGGGGCTGGAGTTCCCTGAGCGCCAGAGGCTGGCAGCTGCGGTTGGATTTCTCCGATGTCCGGTGTTATCTCCATGTCTGCCCCTTTCTTCCTGGGGAAGATCATCGATGCCATCTATACCAACCCCACTGTGGACTACAGCGACAACCTGACCCGCCTCTGCCTTGGCCTCAGTGGCGTGTTTCTGTGTGGTGCTGCCGCCAATGCCATTCGTGTCTACCTCATGCAAACTTCACGTCAGCGCGTTGTGAAGAGGCTGAGAACTTCGTTATTCTCCTCCATTCTGGGGCAGGAGGTTGCTTTCTCTGACAAGGCTGGCACAGGGGAATTGATTAACCGCCTCTCATCGGACACTGCACTCCTGGGGCGCTCAGTGACTGAAAACCTCTCAGATGGGCTCAGGGCCGGGGCCCGGGCTTCTGTAGGCATCAGGACGATGTTTTGTGTCTCACCTAATCGGGCCACCTTTGTTGTGAGTGTGGTGCCTCTAGTGTCAATCATTGATGTAATTTATGGACGATATCTACGGAAACTGACCAAAGTCACCCAGGATTCGCTGGCACAAGCCACTCAGGAGGAACGTATTGGAAATGTTAAGAACTGTTCGAGCTTTTGGGAAAGAAATGACTGAAATAGAAAAATAGGCCAGCAAAGTGGACCATGTGATGTAGTCAGCAAGGAAAGCGGCATTCGCTCAGGCTGGCTTCTTTGGAGAACTAGGCTGTCCGGAAACCTGATTGTGCTTTCTGTCCTGTACAAAGGGGGGCTGCTGATGGGCAGTGCCCACATGACCATGGGTGAACTCTCTTCCTTCCTATGTATGCTTTCGGGGTTGGAATAAGCATTGGAGGTCTGAGCTTTTTCTACTCGGAGCTGATGAAAGGACTGGGTGCCGGGGGGCGCCTCTGGGAGCTCCTGGAGAGAGAGCCCAATCTGCCTTTTAAGGAGGGGGAAGGGTTATCTTAAATGAGAAAAGCTTCCAGGGTGCTTTGGAGTTTAAGAACGTGCATTTTGCCGATCCCGCTTGCCCAGAGGCGCCCATATTTCAGGATTTCAGCCTTTCCATTCCGTCAGGATCTGTCACGGCACTGGTTGGCCCAGGTGGTTCTGGCAAATCAACAGTGCTTTCGCTCCTGCTGAGGTTGTTCGACCCTGCTTCTGGAACTATCAGTCTTGATGGCCATGACATCCGTCAGCTAAACCCAGTGTGGCTGAGATCCAAGATTGGGACAGTGAGACAGGAAACCCATTTTGTTTTCTTGCTCTATCACTGAGAACATTGCTTATGGTGCTGATGGCCTTCCTCTGTGACCGCTGAGCAAGTCCAGAGAGTGGCTGAAGTGGCCAATGCAGTGGTCTTGATCCGGAATTTCCCCCAAGGGTTCAACACTGTGGTTGGAGAAAAGGGTGTTCTCCTCTCAGGTGGGCAGAAACAGCGGATTGCAATTGCCCGTGCTCTGCTGAAGAATCCCAAAATTCTTCTCCTAGATGAAGCAACCAGTGCGCTGGATGCTGAAAATGAGTACCTTGTTCAAGAAGCTCTAGATCCACTGATGGATGGAAGAACAGCGTTAGTTATTGCCCATCATCTCTCCACCATTAAGAATGCTAATATGGTTGCTGTTCTTGACCAAGGAAAAATTACTGAATATGGAAAACACGAAGAGCTGCTTTCAAAACCAAATGGGATATACAGAAAACTAATGAACAAGCAAAGTTTTATTTCAGCCTAAGGAAACAATTACTGGTAAACAACATGAGAGACTTTAATGCAAAACAGTATTGTAGAGAAAAAAAACCTCAGAGACTGCATGAAATATGTAAACCATATATCAAGTTATTTGAAAAATAGCTATTTTTTCCAAAGCGTGTAAAATATTGCTTTGAAATGTACCTGTTCTCAAGATCTTTTTATTCAGAGTTTTAACCATTGTAACTTTTTAAATGTCTATAGCACTGAAGTTATTTTCAGGTTTTGTATTTTCTTTCATTGTGGAATATTTTAATTAATATAGCATGGCACCTCATTTTCTTTTGCCTGCTGTTAAAGATGGAAGCTGTTGTCAAATGACAACTTTAAAAAGGGAAGTATAAATAAAAAGCCTGATTATTTTAGGCCAGTTTGCCAATCACTGTGTAATTCCTCTGGTAGTATTCTACCTACTTTAAGTCTAATTTTACTAGATAGAGTAATGGAAAATGAAAATTTAACCCTTTATTCCGATAATCTCATGAAGCAAACCTAACTATTTAACATCAGCTGGAAAGAAGGGAACATTTATATTGCCCGTCTCCTGTGTCTTCAAAGGTGTGAGAGTTGAGGAATATGTGTTCCTACGGGAACTATGTTTGAATATGTGCAGTTTTCAACATTTTGGCAAATGAAAGCCTGACAAGTTTTTAAAAGGGCAGAAGCTTTATTTTTTGAACAGAAAAATCTATTTTTTAAATTCACATGTTTGTATGAGTACTTCTGGGAAGCAAGGGATGAACTGCTAGGTATTATTAAGAATGAATGATTTTTGCATTTAAGTTGTTTGAAGGCATGTATTTTGAAAAATATCTGTTACAAATTTATAATTTCAAGACATACTAAATCTTATAATACTTTTGGAATTTCATTAATAAGGCTAAAATCTGAGGAATGTAACTAATTTTCAGCCTTAAGACACTTAAGTTTGGAAGTCCTTGCTATTCAACAGAATAACAAGAAACCTTCAGAATGTATCACTCTCCCAAAAAGAAGATATTAATAAGCCCTTTTCTTTTATTCATGGTTATAGTTTTTTTATAGTCTCAAAATTCCTAAAGCAATGCTGACAGCCATTGAATTTGCCATATTTTGTATTCAGTGCTGTTAATGTGCTGTTGCCTCAAGAAAAAGTGCTTTTTCTCCATTGATGAGGCTAGACCCTAAGAGGTAATTAAGTCAATGTAAATCAAATGGAAGTTTTGCCATGAACTAAGCATTTATTAGTTCCCTGATTAGACTGGAAGAAGAAACCGCTATTTCATGACAAGCATGGAATATTATATTTTCTTCTTCATAATTAATGAATAAAATTGATATGAGCGAATGAATGTAGTATTTTTTGAATTAGTAAACAGTACATCTGTGACAATCATTTTAACAAGCTCTACTTGTGTTCTTTATAAAGTGTGATTTTCAGAAAGCAAACAAAACACAATTAAAAGGTTGAATCTGAGGAAAATAATGCTTGTACCATAGAAGTATTTACAAAATTGCATTTCATTGTTATGTTTTATTTTCTGATACCTGATGTTCAATTATATCTGTAGGTAATATTTTATATCATAGATTAAAATTTATAGTGACCTTAAAAAAAGATGTATCATCAGGTTATTTATTTGAGGTTTTTCACTTTTTTGATCTTGGAAATTATAGGTATAAATTTCCCTCTTACTACTGCTGTTTGCTGTATCCCATAGGTTTTGGTATGTTGTGTTGCCGTTTTTATCTGCTTCAATAAATTTTTCAATTTCTTCTGAATTTCTTTGTTGAAATTGTAAGGATCATTAGAGGCTACTATGAGCAACCATAGGCCAGAAATTAGAAAACCTAGACTATATGGATACATATAGATACAGAAAAATTCACATTATGAATTTGTTCTTAAATAAGCTTTGGTAATTTGTCTCTTTAAAGAACTTTAAGCTGCCAAATTCTTGAGTATGGAATTGTTCATAATAGTTATTATCATTTAAATATAGAGGTTCTGTAATGATATTTCTTCTTTTATCAGTCCTTTTTTCTTAGTCTTACTAGTATGTAACAACTTTACTGATTTTTTCAAAGGAACTTTTCACTTTGTGAATTTATTTACTTTCAATTTCATTTATTTCTTTCATTACCTGTTATTTTATTTTTTCAAATTACGTTTTATTTGTTTATTTTTTCATTGACTTTTAAACCTATGTATTTTTCTAATAGAAGAATTTCAAATAATAAATTACCCTCTCAATTTAACTCTACACCACAAATATGAAGCTTTTATTATCATAATTTTGTTTTATTTTATTTTTTTAATTGGCACATAATAATTGTGCATATTTATGGGTACATAGTGATGTTTCAGTACTCATAGTGTATATATTTAATTACCCTGATGAGGTGATGGTAATTAGCATATCCATCATTGCAAACATTTATCATTTCTTTGTTTTGGGAACATTCAATATCCTTTCCTAACTATTTGAAGCTATATATTATTGTTAACTATTGTCATACCATAATGGTATAGAGCATTAGAACTTATTCCTCCTATCTAGCTTTAATTTTGAATCTTTTAACAAATCTCTCCCTATCCCTCCCTCCCTCTTATACTTTCCAGCCTCTAGCATCCTCTGTTTTAACTTCTATAAGATCAAAATATTTTAGCTTCCACATATGAGTGAGAAGCTGTAATGTTTAACTTTCTCTTCTTGGCTCATTTCACTCACATAATACACTCCATTTCTATGCACGTTGCTTTTATGGCCGAATAGTACTTCATTGTGTATCTATTCCTTTTCCCCTCCTGTCCCCTCCCTTCCCCTCCTCTCCCCTCCCCTCTCCTTCCTTTCCCTTCTTGAGATGGAGTCTTGCTCTGGAGTGCAATGGTGTGATCTTGGCTCACTGTAACCTCTGCCTCTCGGATTCAAGTGATCTTCCACCTCAGCCTCCCGAGTAGCTGGGGACGTGCCACCATGCCCAGCTAATTTTTATATTTGTAGTAGAGATGGGGTTTCACCATGGTGGCCAGGCTAGTCTCGAACTCCTGACCTCCAGTGATCCACCCATCTTGGCCTTCCAAAGTGCTGGGATTGCAGGCGTGAGCCACCGTGCCCGGCCTATATACCACATTTTCTTTAACCATCATCTGTTGCTGGACCCTTAGGTTGATTCCATATCTTGCCTATTGTGAATAGTGCTGCAATAAACATCTAGGTGCAGATGTTTATTTAATATACTGTTTTCCTTATTTCATATTTTTTCTAAATTATCTTTTGATTTCTTTTATGAACTATGAGTTAAATAGTGTTTCATGTTATTTACAACTATTTGGGGGTTTCCTAGGAATCTCTTATGTCATCGATTTCAAATTAAATTTTATTGTGATCAGAGAATATATTCTATAAAATCTAAAGCTTAAATTCATTTAAACTTACTCTTTGATTCAGCATTTGGCCTATGTTGGTGGTGCTTTCAATACACAAGAAAACAACGTATATTCAGCATTTGAAATGTAGTTTTTATAAATGTCAATAAGATCAAGGTGATTTATAATGAAGTTGAAATGTTCTATAGCCATACGAATGGTTTGTCTTACTGTTCAATCAGTGATGAACAGAGGGATGTTAAAATCTTTAATTATTATTGTCATTTATCCATTTCTCCCTTCAATTCTGCTTTTTCCTTCATGAATTATGAGGCTTTATTATTAAGTTGGTGTCCCTTTCATAATTATGAAATGGGGGCATTTCATAATTATGGACATATATGTCATATTAGGACAATAATATAATAACCAATTCATCGGAGGACAATAATATTGCTTATATTATTGTCCTCCGATGAATTGGTTATTTCATAATTATGAAATGCCCCCATTTTCTCTTATAATGCACCCTCTTTTCCAGTCTACATTGCATTTTGCTAATATAGCCACACAAGCTTCCTAATGCTTGCTGTGTATATGGTTTATCTTTTCTTGTAGGTTTACTTTTCATCTATCTGTGTCTTTATGTTTAATATATGTTTCTGGTAGACAACATTAGTTGGGTCTCATTCTTTTGTCTAATATGACAGTCTCTACCTTGTAATTGAATAATTTAGTTCATAAATATGTTAAATGAAATGTGTTGCCACTTTTAAAAACTGTACAATCTCTTGTTTCTCTTCTCGTATTTTTGTTTAATTGTATTTTAAGTATTCATTTTAAATTGCATAGATGAGTTAGTTGCAACGCTTTTTTGTATTGAGTTATTTGTATTACAATAATCATCAATTTATACTTAACTAATCTAAATTTTACTTCGAGGTAATTTTTGACAACTTCATATATAATGTAAAAAACTGATGACATCTGTTCTATTTTTACATTCTCTCCAGTGATTGATAGTGTTGCCTACTTTGTCAAATCAAAACAAGGCAACATTTTCCTAAAAAGTGATCTGTGCTCCACCTATCCTATTCATATGCACAGAAGACTTTCAGGGCAGAAAACTATTCTGCATGATACTATACTGGTATATGAATTTGCCTAAACTCATAGAATGTATGACAGCAAGCGTGGACCCTAATATAACTATGGACCTTGGTGATAAGGATGTGCCAGTGCAGGTTCATCAGCGGTAAGTAATGTGCCACTCCAGAGGAGAATGACAGCAAGGGGTCAGGCTGTGCCTGTGTGGACACAATGATGTATGAGAAATCTTTGTATCTTTCTTTCAATTTTGCTGTGAACTTACAACTGCCCTAAAAATAAAGTCTATTAAAAAAACCCAAAACAACAACAACAAAAACTGATGACGGTAACATTTCCTTTATTCCCCCTCTGTCTTTTGTGATTTTTTTTAGTATAAGTTTTTCTATCCACATCATAAACCCCACAATAAAATGATATCTTTTTAAATTTAAATAGTCAGTTTCCCTTCAACAAAATCGACAGATTAAAAAAAAGTATTTCCTGTTACTCATATACTTACCATTTCTATGCTTTTCATTTCCTCTAATCTGGAGTTTAGATTCGATGTTATTTCCCTTCAGGCCAAAAAACTTCTGCTAGCATGTTTTGTAGTACAGATTTGCTGGTGACAAATTGGCCCATTTAATTTTTCCGAAAATGTCTTAATTTTACCTTCAACTTTGAAAGATACTTTAATAATATATAGAAACGAACCTGATGCTCTGTCATCTCCAAATACTTTAGTAGACTGATTCTCAACCAGGGGGAGTTTTGCCCTCCAGGAAACATCTGATAATATCTCAAGATATTTTTAGTTGTTAGCCTGGGGAAAGGTGTGAGGAGGATGCTACTGTCATTTAGTTATTAAAGGCAAACCAAGTCGCTAAACATCCTGCAATTCACAGGAAATGCCCCCAACAAAGAATTATGTGGCCCAAATGTCAGAAGCGATAGTGCCAAAGTTGAAAAACCTTGCTTTCATATATATTTTCTACAAACACAATTGTGTCTATATATGTATATACATATATATAATTCTATATATTACAAATCTATTACAGTAATATATGTGCCCCCCCAAATGCAATACGTGCACAGTACAACGAACAAAACCAGAAAATTAATATTAATATATTGCTACATCTAATTATCAAGTCCGCATTAAAATTTCACCAATAGTCAGCCGGGCACGGTGGCTCACGCCTGTAATCCCAGCACTTTGGGAGGCCGAGGCGGATGGGTCACGAGGTCAGGCGATCAAGACCATCCTGGCTAACACGGTGAAACCCCGTCTCTACTAAAAATACAAAAAAAAAAAAGGAAAAAATTAGCCGGGCGTGGTGGTGGGTGCCTGTAGTCCCAGCTACTCGGGAGGCTGAGGCAGGAGAATGGCGTGAACCCAGGAGGCCAGGCTTGCAGTGAGCCCAGACCGCGCCACTGCACTCCAGGCTGGGCGACAGACGGAGACCCCGTCTCAAAAAAAAAAAAAAATTCACCAATAGTCCCAATAATGTTTCATAGCAAAAGGATCAAGTTCAGAATCATGCATTGCCTTTCATTGTCATGTCTTTTTAATGTCCTTGTATCAAGAATAGATCTTTAGACCTAACTTAACCAAGATTTCTGGCCCATATTTTCTTCTTTTTTTCCTTTGCTTTGCTTCTCCTTCCTTTTCTCCTTTCCTTTCTCCTTCGCTTTCCCCTTCCTTTTTCTCTTCCCTCTCCCCTTCCCTTCCCCCTCCCCTTCCTTCTCCTCTCCTCTTTCCCTTACTTTTTCCTTTTCCCTTCCTTCTTTTTTGAATGGCTCCCTTTAGGTTTTCTGAGGTTTCCTTGTGACTAGAGTCAGGCAATGCATTTTGGCAAGAATATCACAGAATTGATGCTGCGTTTTTTTCATTGCATCCTATCAGGTGGTACATGATTCCATTTTGTCTCATTACTGACAATGTTTATTTTGACAGGTTGATAATGGTGGTATATAGTAGGCTTCTATCTTGTTATTCTCTATTTCTAGATTCTGTTACTTTATTTTATGTTGTTTTTCCTAAAGGGTAATAGGAATTTTCTCTGTTTCTTTATTTTGTTTTTGTTTATTTCCCTATTTTTATTCCTTACTATACTTTTAGCACATAGTACCTAGTGCAAAATACTAATATATGTTGAACACCAACAGTTGTTGAACAAATGTCTGAAACTGACTCTGTCCTGCTACCACAAAAACATATATATATATATTTTTTTTTTTCCTATAGGGATACCATCAACTACATAGTTGTCTAAGCCAAGACCTCCTGCTAGGACTGATTAAAGCCTGTGCATCCTCATTATCCAGAGCCTGTGTTGCTCCTCTAGAGCTATAGTCAGGCTAACCATTCCTTCTGGTTAATATCTGAAAGGAAGAATCATGCAGCAAGAAGAGAACTGTGAGGGAAGAAAAATGGCACAAACCCAGCCTGGATTTCTCTCTCCCCTTTTAATGATGAATGAATGAAAAAAATTCATCATTAGCTGTAGTTAGTTTCTATTACATAAAAAGGAAGCTGATGAAATATATAACTGAGTTATATACCCACATCCAATTGGTTCTGTTTCTCTGGAGAACTCTATTAAAGAAGTTATTGAGTATTGTTTACATGTACACTGACAAATATGTCTAAAGGTTATGTCTGAACACCTATAAATTTATATCAATGATTCTATATAGTTCATTCTTATTACACTTGATTCTAATTCTTATGAAGTTGATGTTTGGTAGAATGAATGATAAAAGGAGATTCTGTCCCCTATTGAAGTGTTTGTGTAGTTACACGCCAGAGTTTTGGAGATTGAGGAAAAGGTTGAGCTTAAATAATTTTATGGGCAAACTCAATGCTTGAATGTAAGATAGTACTTTACTTTGAAAGATTTGGAGGATTTCATAATGACTTTTACTTTTGCTAATTATTGATACAGTCACTTGTAAATAAGTTTACTTAGGTAAGCTCAAGGAAATCATGCTTTTTCTCAGGCTTATTTTAAATCTGAATATTTTTACTGTCTTTGCTTTTACAAGAAAATATTCATCATTGTATTTTTTGTCTTAATTTTCAAAGTCAAATGTTAATTGTTTTTGTGGGATTACTTTGGCAAATATGGGAGATCCCCAAACAAATTTTAAAAAGTTTTTTCGGCCGGGCGCTGTGGCTCACGCCTGCAATCCCAGCACTTTGGGAGGCTGAGGCGGGCGGATCACGAGGTCAGGAGGTCAAGACCATCCTGGCTAACACAGTGAAACCCCGTCTCTACTAAAAATACAAAAGAATTAGCCGGACGTGGTGGCGGGCGCCTGTAGTCCCAGCTACTCGGGAGGCTGAGGCAGGAGAACGGCGTGAACCCGGGAGGCAGAGCTTGCAGTGAGCTGAGATCGTGCCACTGCACTCCAGCCTGGGCGACAGAGCGAGATTCTGTCTCAAAAAAAAAAAAAAAAAAAAGTTGTTTCTGTTCTCCTTTGTTTTCTACTTTCTCTTAAATAGAAATATATTTCTTGTACAAATAAATGCCATGAATTAAAAAAATAATAAATTATGATTTTCCTTCGTGAGGATCAGTTCTCCTAGACATTGGTTTAGCTAATGCCAGCTATTTGGTATAAAAATCTGTATCCGTGGAGAGGTAAAAAAGAGCTAAAGGAAGCATAAGAAAGACAACCGCATCTTTAAGAAGTTCCTCTTTTTCTTTTTTCTTTTTTTTCTTTTTTTTTTTTGAGACGGAGTCTTGCTTTGTTCCCCATTGTTCCCCAGGCTGGAGTGCAGCGGCGCGATTTCTGCTCAGTGCAAACTCCGCCTCCCGGGTTCACGCCATTCTCCTGCCTCAGCCTCCCGTGCAGCCGGGACTACAAGTGCCCGCTACGGCGCCCAGCTAATTTTTTGTATCTTTAGTAGAGACGGGGTTTCACTGTGTTAACCAGGATGGTCTCGATCTCCTGACCTCGTGATCCACCCGCCTCGGCCTCCCAAAGTGCTGGGATTACAGGCGTGAGCCACAGCACCCGGCCAAGAAGGTTCTCTTAAAAGGAATCACTTCTTGTTTTCTTACAAGTTATAACCTCACTACCCTAGAGTCACATTTTTTAATAACTTATGAATTTTCTGAAACTTCAAATACCCTATGGCCCCATGGTAAAACATCAGATGACATTTGCCTCTCATTTAAACCATTTTTCTTTTCCTCTTTCTTCATTTTTCTTATACTCTCTCATTTCTTTTTCTCTCTTCCTATTTCTCTTTTTCTCTCTGCTTCTTCCTACCTCCCCTCGTGACTTTGTCTCCTCATCCCGTCACCGTGCTACTTAGATGCCACATCAATTTGACTAGCCTCAAATTTACAATGAATACTTTTTAAATTCATGCTTCTGAAACTTTTAAAGGATGAAGAGGTATAAATGTCTCAAATAATAATTTGCTTGATGGCTGAAATGAATGGCATTTCTCAAAAAGGCCAAGGGACTGAATACAGCAATTTAAACAATCACTTTCCGTTAGTGATATGGTTTGGATGGTTTGTCCCCTCCAAATCTCATGTTGAAATGCGACCTCCAGTGTTGGAGGTGGGCCTAGTAATAGGTGTTTGTTTCCCAAGGGTGGATCCCCATGAATGGTTTTGTGCTGTCCTCCCGGTAATGAGTGAGTTCTTGCTCTATGAATTCACGAGAGATCTTGTTGTTTAAAAGAGCCTGGCATCTCCCTTGCTCCCTCTCTCCCCATGTAATATGCCAGCTCCCCCTTTGCCTTAAGCCATGATTGTCAGCTTCCCGGGCCTCAGCAGAAGCTGAGCAGATACTGGTGGCCTGTTTGTACAGCCTGCAAACCATCAGCCAAATACTCCTCTTTTCTTTATAAATTACCCAGTCTCAGGTATTCCTTTATAGCATTGAGATGGACTAACATAGTCAGTTTTGACAACATGAACCTTTCATATTAAAATTTAATTTCTAAATTCACTCATTTACTGTGATTGGTTTATAGCTTTTCTGTAATAATGAATTTTACGTGTGACTTTCAATGTGCTTTAAAACTTGATTCACTTTTTAGCTCTATTTTTGGAAACTACCAGCTTCCACTGTTGAGGCAAAAGTGTCATCATTGAGGCTCTCCTGCTGAGGTAGCTGTTGTCTGATTTCCCTTCAGTTCTACTGCTGTCCCAGTGGAAAAAGGGAATCTTCACCACTTACATGACATGTTTGCCTGAACTCTAATCTTCCACACTTGCTGTAGAAAAGAGTAAAGTGGCAGTTCAGGGCAGTTTACCAATTTAGAAACGGTGTCCGCTCGGTATTTTCCTCTGTGTCACTTACTAAAACATATAAAAGAAACCATGGACATTAAAAGAAAGAGAGAGGTTTAATGTGATATTTTAATTCTAACAAGGATTTATGGGCACATGAATGCCCAAAATCACATACCCCCTTAGTGTTTTTCATCTCACACATATCACATCAGACACATATCACACATATCAGGCACATATCACACAGAACTTACCATAATTAAATTATCAGTTTTTGAAAAATATCATTTGCTCTCTTTTTTTCTATATAAATAAATTTTTTTAAAATATGATTTTCAGTTCTGGGATACATGCACGGAACATGCAGGTTTGTTATATAGGTATACATGTGCCATATAGGTGGTTTCTTATTTGTGTTTTCATCTTATGGCTTTGGCTAGAACTAGATAATAAAAGTATGCATCAATTTAAGAGTTATTTTTAATCATGGTAAGGACATATCTATAACTACTTTGTTAAATTTCATCAGTCATGCATGTTAAATATCATTAAATAAATATCAAAAATGGGCTGCTGTACCAGAATACCATAGACTTGGTGGCTTATAAACAACAGAAAGGAATTTCTCACAGTTCTGGGGTCTGGGAAATCTAAGACCAAGGTACTAGCCAATCTGGTGTCTGGGAAAAACTTTTGTTCTAGTTCAAAGAAGGCTGCCCTTTCTCTATAACCTCAGTTGGGGAAGGAGCAAGGGAGTTCAGGGGGCTGCTTTAGAAGGGTGCTAAACCCATTAATGAGGGCTGCTCTCTCATGACTTAATTAGTTCCCAAAAGCCCCACCTTCAAAAACCCTCACACTGGCGGTTAGCATTTCAACATATGAATTTGAGAGGGATGTAAACATTTAGTCTGTAGCAGTAAATGTACAATATAAGGTAAATAGCTTTATTGTTGTGTTGCATTATATTAATACATATTTTCTAGTATTAAATCTTTGTATGCCAAATCACTGGGGTGGGTGATTTCTTAGTAAGTGTAGAATTCAGTTCCTTTTTCTTTCAGTTAAGAATATTTTAACTATGTTTATAAGGGATACTGTTTAGTAATTTTATTCTTTTTGTATTCACTTCATCAAGAGTTAGTAATAGTTATATTTGCTTTGTAAAATGAACTGAAAGGAAGCCACTTTTTATAACTTTATCCATATTTCCTAGTCTGGGGTCCATTTTACAAGATGTTTTAAACAGATGCTTATTAAAAACACTGGTTATAGGGACTTTAATAAAAATTTTTAAAATAATGTTTTACATTTCTTGCAAACATTGATGCCTGCAACCTATTTACTATTTTTAAAATTAAATTAAGATTCATTTAAGCAGTACATGTTTATTTTAGTGAAACACGTATTTAATTTTCTAAGATAGTATTTTTTGTCTTTAAAACAATTTCTGCATGTTTTGTTTTTTTTTTCACTTTAAATTTTATGTTTTCTCAGTTTTTGTTTTATCACATTTGCTGTATTTTTCTGTATCATGGGTTATTTGTTAAAGAATGAACTTGTGTATGTTTATAAATTGTTACTGTTTTTGTTTATAATTTATTGCCTTCTAACTTAATATGTAATTAGCATTCCTTTTAATTTTGCTTGTATGCTTTGCTGTACCATTTTGAAATTCTTGAGTTAAATGCTTAACTATTTTTTATCAAGTTTAAATATTAAATTAAATATGTCCCATCAGTTTAGTCATTTTAATATTCTCACTCATCAGACATTTTTTGGGAACACCATATGCCTTTTCATGCAGTCAGTTTCAAGAA
Source organism: Homo sapiens (assembly GCF_000001405.40). Classification (NCBI taxonomy): domain Eukaryota; kingdom Metazoa; phylum Chordata; class Mammalia; order Primates; family Hominidae; genus Homo; species Homo sapiens. The sequence goes on from NT_187659.1 coordinate 163,099, forward strand.
AATGAAAATTACTTTTTATATGTTTATACTCAAAGCTTGGCTAGAGATAAGTCTCCCCTTCCTTAAGTTGGGGAGAGAGTGATTTCTTCCAGGCTATAGTCAAAAGAGATACAATTATAGTAATTTTTTGTGTTTGTTTGGGTTGTTTCTGTTTGTTTGTTTGTTTGTTTGTTTGAGACGGAGGTTGGATCTTGTTGCCCAGGCTGGAGTGTAGTGGCATAATCTCAGCTCACTGCAACCTCCGCCTCCTGGGTTCAAGCAATTCTAAACATATTTTAGCACAAAACTGTTTAAGATTTCAATTTATATCTTTTTATTATCTTCCATATACTCTTTTGATACATTACCCATTATGTTGATTATTAACGTACACTCAAGTCAAGATCTTTTATTATGTGAGGTCATCAGTCAATGATAACAGATATTGATGAATTAGTCTCCTCATCAGAAATTGAGCAACATTTTCATTCAAGACGACACATGGGCCTTTAAAGCATATTCAATAATACTGAGTCTCAGTCTTCTCCTGCTATTTTCTGAATGTGCATTTAGACCTTTATACATCTATCTATCTACTGACCCATTTATTAAATTTTCAGCATTTACTTTGTACTCCAAGGACCAGAACCATGTTTGTCTTGTTCACTGCTGTACTCCTATTGCAAGGACCTAGAACATAGTAGGAGCTCATTAAACTCTGAGGATTCAAAATAAGTGAATAGAGGTTGTAGCAGGAAGAAGTCTAAGATAGCCCCTATGACCTTCATTTCCTCATGTTACCCTGTTGATACCTCACACGGCAAAGGAGTCTTGCACATGTCACTAAGGCTAATAATCCGTCAGCCTTAAGACGGGGGGAGTACCTGGGTAAACCTAACCTAATCACACCAAAACCTAACAATCAGGGAGTTTTCTACAACTGAGAGTAGAATGGGAAGTCAGAGAGTTTCAGAGTCCAAGAAGCATTTATAGCACCCTTATTGACTTTGAAGATGCTTTGCTTCTTCTTTTGAGTTCAGTTTGAGATTATCTTTCTAATAATTGATTAGATTTTATTCTTGTAAAAAAAGAGATAATTTAAAGGAATCTATTTTTAAATACTCTGAGGAGGGTGATACTAGGGGTGCTGGTTGTCCTGTTTTAACTTTGTCTTAATTTCTAATGTAATTAAATTTTGAGTAGGTAATGTGACCTGTGTGGTTTTTATTTTAAAAAATATATTGAGGTTTTATATAATCTATTTTTAAAATATTCAATGGAAACTTGAAAACATACTGTTTCACATATTCTTGTATATATATATTAAAAATCTTTTTTTATTTATTTTTTATTTTTATTTTTTTTTTGAGACGGAGTCTCGCTCTGTCGCCCAGGCTGGAGTGCAGTGGCGCCATCTGGGCTCACTGCAAGCTCCGCCTCCTGGGTTCACGCCATTCTCCTGCCTCAGCCTCCCGAGTAGCTGGGACTGCAGGCACCCACCACCACGCCCAGCTAATTTTTTGTATTTTTAGTGGAGACAGAGTTTCACCGTGTTAGCCAGGATGGTCTCGATTTCCTGACCTCGTGATCCGCCCGCCTCAGCCTCCCAAAGTGCTGGGATTACAGGCGTGAGCCACTTAGCCCGGCCTAATTATTTGTTTTTTAAAAGATGGTACATAGGAAGAAGTAAATCAGGAAAAGTGGATAGTGATTGGTGGCAGTAGAAGTGAGTCAGTGTTACAGTTACTATTGCTGCTTAAGAAACTAACCCAAATGGCCTGGGTGCCGTGGCTCACGCCTGTAATCCCAGCAGTTTGGGAGGCTGAGACGGGCGGATCATGAGTTCAGGAGATCGAGACCATCCTGCCTAATACGGTGAAACTCTGTCTCTACTAAAAATACAAAAGTTAGCCTGGCCTGGTGGTGGTGGGCGCCTTAAGTCCCAGCTACTCGGGAGGCTGAGGCAGGAGAATGGCGTGAACCCGGGAGGCGGAGCTTGCTGTGAGCCGAGATCGCGCCACTGCAGTCCAGCCTGGGCGACAGAGGGAGACTCCGTCTCAAAAAAAAAAAAATTAAAAAAAAGAAAAAGAAAAAAGAAACTACCCTAAATTTAATAAGGTAAAACAACGACCACTTCATTATATCTCATGGATCCTATAGGTGAGAAATTCCAGCAGGATTCATCTGAGTGATTCTTCCTCTCTCACATCATTAACTAGGGTGACTCAGTGCTAGTCGGCTGGCAAACAAGTCAGTCTGGAAGGTGCAAGGTGCTTTTTTTCTGTCTTATAAATTGGTGGAGTTGTCTGGAAGGCAAGGCTCAGATGGGAAGGACTCTTAGTTATAGTGCCTGCACAGGGTAAACTTTTTTTTTTTCTTTTTTTTTTGAGACGGAGTCTCACTGTCCCCCAGGCTGGAGTGGTGTGGCCCGATCTCGGCTAACTGCAAGCTCCGCCTCCCGGGTTCACGCCATTCTCCTGCCTCAGCCTCCCGAGTAGCTGGGACTACAGGCGCCCACCACCAGGCCCAGCTATTTTTTTGTATTTTTAGTAGAGACGGGGTTTCACCGTGTTAGCCAGGATGGTCTCGATCTCCTGACCTCGTGATCCACCCGCCTTGGCCTCCCAAAGTGCTGGGATTACAGGCCTGAGCCACCGCGCCCGGCCTGCACAGGGTAAACTTCTTATATGGCTGCTGGCTTTCCGCAGATCAAACACTCCAAGGGAACCAGGTGGAAAAGGCCTGGTCTCTTTTTATCTCACCTTAAAGGTCAGGTAGAATTATTTGTCATACTCTATTGATTGTAGCAGTCACAAGCACGTCCAGATTTAGGGAAGGGAGACATAGACCTATTTTTTGATGAGAAGAATATCAACCTGTTTTTGGACTATGTTTAAAACTGCCACACATGACAATTACACACCAGGTAGAAGGCATTTGGCGACAGACTTCTTGAAGGAAATGAGGAGGAATCGTGCTCTGCTGAAAAAAGAGCATTCCAAAGAGAGACCACAGCTTGGGCAAAAGCCCTGAGTCGGAATCATGTGGACTTATTCTTAGAACAGCATCGAGGAAGCCATTATAGCTGGAGTAGAATGAGAAGGGGGAAGAGTATTAGTAGATGGTGGCAGAGAAATAAACATGAGAAGACGGATGATGGAACGAGCACCTTGTACGTCATTTTAAGGACTTTGGCTGTTCCTCAAACTGACATGGGACCATTGAAAGATTTTTTTATTTTTTATTTTTTAAATTTAACTTTTAAGTTCAGTGGTACACGTGCAGGTTTGTTATGTAGGTAAACTTGTGTCATGGGGGTTTGTTGTACGGATTATTCTGTTACCCACATGGTAAACCTGCTACCCACTAGTTGTCTTTCCTGATCCTCTCCCTCCTCCCAGCTTTCACCCTCCTTTTCAAAATAAGACATACATGCAGCCAACAAACATAGAAAAAAAGCTCAGCATCACTGATCATTAAAGAAATGCACATCAGAAGTACAATGAGATACTATCTCACACCATTCAGAATGGTTATTATTAAAAAGCCAAAAAATAACATGCTGGCAATATTGTGGAGAAAAGGCAACATTTCTACACTGTTGGTGGGAGTGTAAATTAGTTCAGCCATTGTGGAAGACAGTGTGGTGATTCCTCAAAGACCTAAAAGAACTACCATTCGACCCGGCAATCCTATTACTGGGTATACACCCAAAGGAATATAAATTGTTCTGTCATAAAGACACATGCATGCATATGTTTATTGCAGCGCTATTCACAGTAGCAAAGGCATGGAATCAACATAAATGCCCATCAATGGTAGACTGGATAAAGAAAATGTGGTATATATACACCATGGCATATTATGCCACCATAAAAGATGAGATCACGCCCTTTGTAGGAACATGGATGGAGCTGGAAGCCATTATCCTTAGCCAACTAATGCAGGAACAGAAAACCAAATGTTCCCACTTAGAAGCGAGAGTCAAAGGGGAGAATACATGAACACGTAGAGGGGAACAACATTGAAAGATATAAGCAAAGAAGTGATATCATCTGAATTGCATTTCTGAGATTTCTCTGGCACTTGTGTAAAAAATAGCTGAAAGGAATCAACGGCAGAAGCTGGGAGACCAGTTAGGGAGCTTTTGCAATAACCATAAGAGGAAATATGTGTGGCTTAGACTAGGAATCGTCAGGTTGGGAGTGCTCATTCAAATGTGGTCAGAATCCGGACATTTTGAGTGAGCCTACAGAAAGCTTTAATACTATCTCAAACTAAAGGATATAGAAGGTTTTCCCTTTCTCTTGCCCTGAAACCTTCTGTATCCTTTATTTTGAGATAGTATTAGAATTCTTACTATCTTACTGACAATTCTCACTATCTTGTTTTATAACTTGGAACATGATTATAATTATAGTATTGTTAAATATTTTATTTTTATTTTATAATTATACTTTAAAAATATTATTTTGGTAAATAATCATAAAATATGAAAAATAAATCTTTCCATTAACTGAATCAATTGTCCCCTTGCAGGATTTTGGCTTCACAACTTCCTAATCCTTGAAATATTAATTTTGATTATTTTTCTAATATGTACCCATATGTCTTTGAGTAAATTTTTATTGGAAGGACAAATCAGTGCTGGATATACAGATGCCATTGCTTCGTACTCAGGTAAAGACAACCTGATATTTATGATCCTCTTGATCATATTTTTATTCTCTTAAAATCTTTATGTCTTCTAATAATGTTAACAGAGAAGAAAAAAAGTCTTATCTAAGCCTGACTTTTTATTTTTAAGGAAGTTTTTTTATTTATTTGTAAAATTCAGGAGTTTGGCTAGTTGTTATTTAAATATGGAGAACTCTTCCTTGTTTCTTCCCCCTCCCTGCCTAGAAGCTGGTTGGTGCTTTTATTATTCGTACTTCAGTGATAGCTTTGATTATTGTTTCAGATCTCCTTGCCCTTGTGTCTTTCCCCAGTACACAAACTATTCTCGAGGTGGAACCTGTGGTCTCTGGCATACCCATCCGCCTTCTTCTCTGTCATTAGTTCATCTCTTCCTTTGCCCTCCAGAGCTCTGATTCAATTGCTGCTTGAACTTTTCAGTGTGTCAGTTTCTTTCTCCACGGATTTCCCTGTGGATGGAAAATCTGCCCTTGCACTTTAGTTTTCATAGAAGCCTCATCTCAGCTATCTCCCATTTTGTGATATGAGCCTCTTTTGTTATTGTAGCCTTCATCTCCTATTTCCTAAATTCCATGTGTTTCTACATACTGTTCATAGACAAATAGTTTAAAGCAATGGTCTATAGTTTCTTGTGGTTTGAAAGTCATATATTTTTAAATACGTTTTCTCCCCCTGAGAATTCAGCATACAGTTTCATTTTTCTTGTACGCAGGATGATTTTTAGGATTTTTTTTCTGTTATATTTTTTCCATTCTGGTTACCTAGAAGGTAGTGATTATTACCCCAAACCAGGGTTTGATACTGTGTTAGTCCACTTTCATACTGCTATGAAGAAATACCTGAGACTGGGTAATTTATAAAGAAAAAAAGGTTTAATGGACTCAGTTCCACGTGGCTGGGGAAGCCTCACAATCATGGCAGAAGGCAAAGGAGGAGCAAAGACATGTCTTACATGGTGGCAGGCAAGAGAGAGAGCATGTGCAGGGGAACTCCCCTTTATAAAACCATCAGATCTTGTGAGACTTATTCGGTTTCACAAGAACAACACAGGGAGAAACCCATCCCCATGATTCAGTTACCTCCCACTGGGTCCCTTTCATGACATATGGGGATTATGGGAGCTACAATTCAAGATGAGATTTGGGTAGGGACATAGCCAAACCATATCATTCTTCCCCTGGCGCCTCCTGAATCTCATGTTCTCACATTTCAAAATCAATCATGCCTTCCCAACAGTCCCCCAAAGTTTTAACTCGTTTCAACATTAACTGAAAAGTCCACAGTCCAAGGTCTCATCTGAGACAAGTCCCTTCCACCTATGAGCCTGTAAAACTAAAAGCAAGTTAGTTACTTCCTACATACAATGGGGGTACAGGCATTGGGTACCCCCAGTGTATCTACACCTGTTCCAGATGGGAGACATTGGTCAAAACAAAGGGGCTACAGGCTCCATGCAAGTCTGAAATCCAATAGGGCAGTCATTAAACGTTAAAGTTCCAAAATGATCTCCTTTGACTCCGTGTCTCACATGCAGGTCACACTGACGCAAGTGGTGGTCTCCCATGGCCTTGGGCAGCTCTGCCTCTGTGGCTTTGCAGGGTACAGCCTCCCTCCTGGCTGCTTTCACTGGCTGGCATTGTCTGTGGCTTTTCCAGGTACACAGTGTAAACTGTTTGTGGATCTACCAATTGGGGGTTTGGAGGGCAGCGGCCCTCTTCTCATAGCTCCACTAGGCATTGCCCCAGTAGGGACTCTGTATGGGAGACAGAGCCCACATTTCAATTCTCTACTACCCTGGAAGAGGTTCTTCATGAGCCCCTGCTCCTGCCCCCGCACCCCACCAGAGCAAACTTCTGCCTGAACATCCAAGTGTTTCCATACATTCTCTGAAATCTAGGTGGAGGGTCCCAAACCTCAATTCTTGACTTCTGTGCGCCTGCAGGCTCAACATCTTGTGGAAGCTGCCAAGGCTTGGGGCTGCAACCTCCGAAGACATGGCCTGAGCTGTAGCCTGGTGTCTCCCACCCCAGCCATGGCTGGAGTGGCTGGAATGCCGGGCACCAAGTCTCAAGGCTGCACACAGCAGGGGGACCTGGACCTGCTCCAGGAAATCATTTTTCCATACTAGGCTTTTGAGCCTGTGATGGAAAGAGCTGCCGTGAAGGTGTTAAGGTCTTTAATGTTCTGGAGACATTTTCCCCATTGTCTTGGTGATTACATTTGGCTCCTTGTTACTTATGCAAATTTCTGCAGGAGGCTTTAATGAAAGTCGGTTTTTCTTTTCTTTTCTTTTCTTTTTTTTTTGGATTGGGAGTCTCACTCTCTTGCCCAGGCTGGAGTGCAGTGCCGCAATCTGGGCTCACTGCAAGCTCCGCCTCCCAGGTTCACGCCATTCCTCAGCCTCCCAAGTAGCTGGGACTACAGGTGCCCGCCACCACGCCTGGCTAATTTTTTTGTATTTTTTTAGTAGAGACAGGGTTTCACCGTGTTAGCCAGGATGGTCTGGATTTGCTGACCTCGTGATCCGCCCGCCTCAGCCTCTCAAAGTGCTGGGACTACAGGCGTGAGCCACCGCGCCCGGCCAAAAAGTCTTATACATTATATTGCTCAAATTTTATCCTTTAATAAGTCATAACGGAGAAACATGCTAATGATTTCACAATTAAATGTGACGTTCATTTAGTGTTTTGCTTTGTAATATTAAATATTTTATTGTTTTCCATGGGATACCTTTTCCTTTAAAATTCTACTTTATGTGAAATCGATGATGTTATAAATAGTCTTTGATTTTTACTTTATTAATCTTTGTACATTTTAATATCGTTAAACTTACAGGAACAGTTTGTACGCTTCATGGAAATAGAGTAGAGTAATAGAGTTTGATTATTTGTTTTGTTTTCAGCTGAGGGTTTTTTTTTTTGGTAATTTCAGTCTTAGAGTCTTTCTTTTCAGCAGTTAGTGGTATAATTCATATTTGCTTCTCATAGCTGATTTTTTGTTTTAACTTTTGTGAACTTGCTTATAGTTTCTTTACAACTATTAGGCCGGTGCAAAAGTTATTGAAGTTTTCACTAATTATTATTATTATTATTATTTTGAGGCGGACTCTCCCTCTGTCGCCCAGGCTGGAGTGCAGTGGCGCGATCTCAGCTCACTGCAAGCTCCGCCTCCCGGGTTCACGCCATTTTCTTGCCTCAGCCTCCCGAGTAGCTGGGACTGCAGGCCCCGGTCACCACGCCTGGCTAATTTTTTGTATTTTTAGCGGAGATGGCGTTTCACCATATTAGCTAGGATGGTCTCGATCTCCTGACCTCGTGATCCGCCCGCCTCAGCCTCCCAAAGTGCTGGGATTACAGGCGTGAGCCACTGCACCCGGCCTAATTATTTGTTTTTTAAAAGATGGTACATACGAGGAAGTAAATCAGGAAAGGAGGATAGTGATTGGTGGCAGTAGAAGTGAGTCAGTGTTACAGTTACTATTGCTGCTTAAGAAACTACCCCAAATGGCCCGGGCGCTGTGGCTCACGCCTGTAATCCCAGCACTTTGGGAGGCTGAGACGGGCGGATCACGAGTTCAGGAGATCGAGACCATCCTGCCTAACACGGTGAAACCCCGTCTCTACTAAAAATACAAAAGTTAGCCGGGCGTGGTGGTGGGTGACTGTAGTCCCAGCTACTCGGGTGGCTGAGGCAGGAGAATGGTGTGAACCCGGGAGGCGGAGCTTGCGGTGAGCCGAGATTGCGCCACTGCACTCCAGCTTGGGCCACAGAGTGAGACTCCGTCTCAAAAAAAAAAAAGAAAAAAGAAAAAAAAAAGAAAAAAGAAACTACCCCAAATTTAATAAGGTAAAACAACGACCACTTCATTGTATCTCATGGATCCTATAGGTGAGAAATTCCAGCAGGATTCGTCTGAGTGATTCTTCCTCTCTCATATCATTAACTAGGGTGACTCAGTGCTATGCGGCTGGCAAACAAGTCAGTCTGGAAGGTGCAAGGTGCTTTTTTTCTGTCTTATGTATTGGTGGGGTTGTCTGGAAGGCAAGGCTCAGATGGGAGGGACTCGTAGTTATAGTGCCTGCATAGGGTGAACTTCTTTTTTTTTTTTTTTTAGACGGAGTCTCACTGTCCCCCAGGCTGGAGTGGTGTGGCCCGATCTCGGCTCACTGCAAGCTCCGCCTCCCGGGTTCACGCCATTCTCCTGCCTCAGCCTCCCGAGTAGCTGGGACTACAGGCGCCCACCACCAGGCCCGGCTAATTTTTTGTATTTTTAGTAGAGACGGGGTTTCACCGTGTTAGCCAGGATGGTCTCGATCTCCTGACCTCGTGATCCGCCCTCCTCGGCCTCCCAAAGTGCTGGGATTACAGGCCTGAGCCACCGCGCCCGGCCTGTGCTCACCCATATTTCTGTTTGCTGTGTGGTGCAGTGCGACCACACGGTTCTTCAGACACAACCTCTGCTTTCTCATTTACCTCAACACTTTAACCCTTAGATTCTTTTTTACTATACTTCAGTGTATTTCCCAGACATATATTGTCTATGAGGGATAAAATAAAATATCAATTAAAAACAAAAAAATTCAGAGAAATATTAACCATTCACTCTTCTAAGTTCTCAAAGGTTACATTCTTCACCAAATCATATAACCAGGTCCCAATAAAATACCATCATGCAGGGAATTTAACATCATGTAGTTTAAAATACCATCATGCGGGCAGCTTTCAACTAAGCATCCTGTAAGAAAAGATCATTTGTTCTTACATCTTTAAAAGTTTGGAAATTGCTATGGAAGATTATTTTTATTATATTGTCCATTGTCTGTTGCTTAAAGACATATATTTTGCTTGAGTTTAGAGTTACCAAAAAATAGTTGCTGATATATCCAGATACTATTTTATTAACTAACAATACCTATTTGAATTCTGGTTTTCCTTTTGGCCTTTAAGAACAAGGGGCTTAGGACTAAATTTTAGGCTGAAGGGTAGTGTTTCCTTCCCTAGGTTGTCCCATGTAATTGTCACCTCTTTCTCTTCATTATTCTGTCATTTTGCGCTTGTTTTATAGTGTCTGTGCCTTTCATTCTAAGCTGTCTCAGGGGCTTTTCTGGAAATACACAGTGTATAAGTACAAAATGATGAAATAAACATGCTTCTTTTTTTTTTTTTTTTTTTTTAAGACGGAGTCTCACTCTATTGCCCAGACTGGAGTGCAGTGGCACGATCTCGGCTCACTGCAAGCTCTGCCTCCTGGGTTCACTCCATTCTCCGGCCTCAGCCTCGCGAGTAGCTGGGACTACAGGCACCTGCCACCATGTCCGGCTAATTTTTTGTATTTTTAGTAGAGACGGGGTTTCACCATGTTAGGCAGGATGGTCTCGATCTCCTGACCTTGTGATCTGCCCGCCTTGGCCTCCCAAAGTGCTGGGATTACAGGCGTGAGCCACCGCATCAGGCCAACACACGTCTTTATTTTGTTTTCAAAGATGCTTGGGTGGGACTAGATGACCTCTAAGGTCCTTTCCAGCTCTAAATTTACGTTACTTTCACCAAAGACAGACAAAAAAAAAATCTGTTAGGTTATAGGTCTAGAGATGAGTGCCAAGTACTATATTCCTGCTCTAGGTGCATTTCTTGTTGAAGGCAGTGCTAGATTCAGTGACCTGTTACGGCCGTTTACAGTCTTATGGTGATAAAACAAGAGAACTGATTGCTAAAAAAAAAAAAAAAAATTCAGTTGAAATATCTTTTTACTCTTAAGCATCAACAAAAAATAAATAGAAAACAGAAGAGTTGAATTATTTAGTTTGAGCTATTTGTAATAAATTTGGACAACTAAGCTAAGCCCGAGTGTAGTTAATTCAATGAAATTAGTCATATTTGAATATTGTCACAACCTTACTACCACATTAGCATTAAGTGTGATTAAAATTTATTCTTTGTTTCTGTGTGAGTCTCCACAGAATCAGCTATCAACACCTTCATAATAAACTAGCCCTTCATTGCTTTCAGGAAACTTTTTGATTCAGAGCAGGTGGTTGGGCTTCTGCTTTAAAAGAGAACAAATCATTTTTAACGTCCCTTTCCTGTTTGTGTGTGTGAATTTAGAACACAGAAATTATCCATTGCATTGTTTATTTTTGCTAGGAGGTAGAAGTTCTTAAAAATATAGGAAATACTAGATATCATGTACTGATAATTTCCAAAGCTAATTATTTTTCTTAAGTCCAAGCTATAATTTAAGAGGCGTACTTGTGAAATATGAATATTGTTTTAGAGTAATAAAATGTTTCTCATGGAAAAATAGAATATGATTTTGTCGAAGTTCAAGGGAATATCCATTTTCATTCAGGTAGCTTCCAGATTTTTGTCTTTACATGTTCTGTGTAGTGATTTAAATACCGTACCTCCAAAATTTATGTCCATTAGGAACTTTAGAATGTGATTTTATTTGGAAGTAGGGTCTTTGCAGATATAATTAACCCAGTGATTGAGATGAGGTCATCCTGGGTGAAGGTGGGCCCTAAATCCAGTGTAAATGTCCTTATAACATACAGGAAAAGACACACACAAGGTCATGTGAAGATGGAGACAGAAATTGGAGTTATGCAGTCATAAATCAAAGAAGGTCAAGGATTGCCAGGAGCCACTGGAAGCCAGGAAGAAGCGAGGGAGAATTCTTCCCTAGGGTCTTCAGGGGGAGTGTGGCCCCGCCAACATCTTGATTTCAGAGGTCCAGGCTTCCGAACTATGAGAGAATATATTTCTGTCCTCTTAACCCACCAAGTGTGTGATAATTAGGTATGATGGCCCTAGGCAACTACTACACTCTAATTCAGAAGTTCTTCTGGATTTTATTGTATCATGTGTTGGTAGGAAGTACCTGGCTGTTTCATTTGCATGATATGTGGGTAATCTTAGAATTATCATATCTTGCAAGTAATTTTAAAGTATGTTGTAATGTAGTCAGAAGCTTTTTAAATATGAAATTTAATTCATGCTGGTGTCAACTACATTTGAAAAAATACAAAAAAGCTATATAAGATTCTAGGATCTTTCAGAATTTTATAATGTTTATAATGGACAGTTGGTTAAATAAAAATTGTACCCTAAACAATTTTGTTGTTGGCTTAAAATAGCATTTAATTTATTAGTGCTCAGATAATAGTTATCCCCTAAATAGCATTTTTACTTTCATATGTTGATATCAAACAGTGAAGTGAGACAGCAAATCAGTACAACGTGGTGATTATCAAACATCATAAATCCATGAAGGATAGCCTTGATCTTACTGAGAAGAGTTTAATTTTAAAACGCATACCTGGAAAAGGCAACTTAGATTAACATTTCAAACTCACATAGCATTATTTGTGATTGATTATAGTTATAATTGATCATTTTACTTTTGGACCGTCACTTTGAATCAAACTGGGATAAATATAAATTAAAGATTGATTATTTGCTTTGAATTTTAGATTAAAAAATTCAAAAACCATAAAAACAGAGCTTTGACTATAATAAAGGTATTTATCCTTTCTTGGTAAGAATTGGGGAGGGGTTTAAGAAAAGGCTAAGCAATGTTCTATTTTTTACATAGGCAAAAGTTCATTTGTGCTACTTTTTAATTAGGTAGTTTGTTGTTTTTTAAATGACAGCTTCCTAAACACTACTGATTTTACATGTGCAGTCATTAGCTTTTCATGTGGAAATAGTATCTTTCAAATTCACGCAGCTGCTTATTTTATGAAATGCAATGGGACTACTTACTTGCCACCTGTCTAAACTGGAATGCATAGATTCATGCCTTGCCAAATGAGGAGTTAGGGTGAAAAGTGATTAACGTCCGTTCTTTAATGAGTTTCTAAGTCTTTCTGAACATGTTTTTATTCTATTTATTGCAGTGGTATACTAACATTTTCGTGTTGGTTGCTGTACAAAGCATGATAATACCTTTATTAAAGCAATGTTAATGACATCCATAAGATATCATAAAATATTATATTCTTAATAGGAAATTTGTTATATATAAATAACAATAAAGATCGTAATAAGCTCTCCTTAATTCTGTTTATTTTGACTTCATTATTAAGTTTGGAAACATAGGTGTCAAATTTAGACATTATTTATATGTAATTATAAAGCCAAATAAATGTTAGAGATTAACTTAAAAAGAGTTTTGTGGCTTAACAATTGAAGTGAGATAGTGAGATCACAAGGGGCTTAATCATTCTGAATTGATTCTACAGATGTCTCCTTTCTCTAAATGCCCTGTAAGCTTCCTATCTTCCATGAAAGTTTATTCCCATAATCCTGGCACATAAAATTAGTCATATAACTCTTTTCCATTCTGAGATTTCAAGGATTAGGACTTTCAACATAGAGAAAACGTGCTGTGTAGAAGCTGAATGTACAAAAGGCAACACTTGGCAACGGAATCCAGTATTTCCCAAGTATTTGAGGAAACTTACAAAACCCAAATCTCTAGTACTTGCTTTCACATTTGCTATCAGAACCAGGAAGGGAGGCCTAGAAATGGTTTGAATGGAAAATTTGTTGTTGTAGAAGGGGTTCCCATTCACTGGTGAATAGACACAACGTATTTCCCAACCTTCTTTTAATCCAAGATAGCAACATTTTTACTGGAGCCAAAGATAAAACCAGTATTTAATCTCCTAGAAATTAGGAGATTTATGACTCTGGAAATGGAAAGAATTTTCATATCCAGCCACATAACCAAGTCATGCAAGAACATAATAAACAAACCAATCAAACAACAAGAATAACAACCACAACATGGTCCCCATTCTGTCTTTAACCTCTGATAGAAAGAGCAGTAATGGTAAGACGAGAAAGCTCTCGTCAAGTGTTTTCCTCATCTACTGTTAATGATTTATTCTTACATCCTGTCCCAGTCCAATTATCAAAAAATTCTAAGAGAGATCCCTTTAACTGACTTGTAATGAATTCCAGGGTCACATTCCAGATATTGTTTTCCCCTGAAGTCGTGTAAGTGCACCTCAAAATACTATACTTTTGGTGTGAATCTGAGCCAAATTCTATTGTATTCTAAATAAAGTGAAACTCCTATCAGCCAATAGGGCACGGTATCAGTTTCAAATAAGACAAGTTGGTAAAGTCAGGAGAAATGACTTCCTCCTTCCTCCTGATGTGCTGTATATAGATGTATTAGCACTGCCTTTTAATATTTTATGTGTTCAACAGAGAGGGAACTAACATCTTGTTAATCCTCATTTGAAAACAATTTTGCGAATGTAAATGTAGCAGGGCTTTTGCCTTTTTTCCTTCTTCATGAAAAACAAGTAGTGCTTGGGGAGCAAGTGTTCCTGTTCAACTGCTGTCACTCATTCCCAGCTCTGTTTAGAAGAAATAAGCACAGATGGTTGGTCTACTACTTCCCCAACGAAAAATTTGCCTGTTGGCCGGGCGCAGTGGCTCAAGCCTGTAATCCCAGCACTTTGGGAGACCGAGGCGGGCAGATCACAAGGTCAGGAGATGGAGACCATCCTGGCTAACACGGTGAAACCCCGTCTCCACTAAAAATACAAAAAATTAGCTGGGCACGGTGGCGGACGCCTGTAGTCCCAGCTACTTCGAAGGCTGAGGCAGGAGAATGACGGGAACCCGGGAGGCGGAGCTTGCAGTGAGCAGAGATCGCGCCACTGCACTCCAGCCTGGGCGACAGAGCAAGACTCCGCCTCAAAAAAAAAAAAAAATTGCTTACCTTTTTTGTGTTTTATTCCATCCTTCTCATTGTCATGTGAACAGTATTTCAAGGGAAGAAACTTCTGTAGGGATCTTTGAAATGTTTATCCACTGCTTGTGCATGAAAGAGAAAAAGAAGAAATTAATGATTTATTAAAATTTCATGAGGGGAACTCAAAAACGCTTTGTTACAAAAAAATTTAATTTAGAAACCGTGTATTTTGCATGCAAAATTAAAGTCTTCAGGGAAGTAAGTTTTTATATCAGACTTGCATCCTAAAGTACTCATTTAATGATGACAGAACCACTTCATCCATGTTAAAAATACCTGTGTGGGTCTTTTTTATTTATACTGTGGCTTAATGAAAATTTGTCTATTGTAAATATATTAAGAAAAAGAGCATAAAGACTTTTTAACATAATTTTCTAACGCTGAAAATACATACAAACAGTAAAATACCCAAATCTTAACTGTACAGCTCAATACTTCTTTTGTTTTTAAACAAACTTAGCCCTTCTGTGTATCCAGTACTCAAATCAGGAAATTTTATATTATTACTTCTTCTAGACACTATTTCATAGGATAGCTCTTATGGTGATTTGGAACATAACTGATGAGTTTTACAATTTTTAGTGAATTAGATCGTAGTATATGTTCTGTATCTTGCTTCTTTCATTCAATATTTAGTTTATAAGATTTGTTAATCTTTTTGCATATAGTTGTAATTTGTTAGGTTCTCATTGCTATATACTATATCATTATACAAATATAAGTTCAATTTGTGGTTATTTTGAATGGTGCCTCTCTGAGCATTCATGTATTTGTCTTTTGGTAAATATTGCTGGGTATATGCTCAGGGTCATAGAATATGGTCAGATTTAGCATACATGGAAAATGGTGGTGTCCATCAGTTTACATTTCCATCCACAATGGGAGAGAGTTCTAGTTGCTCCGCATCTTTGCCAACACTTGGTATCATTTCTCTCTTTCATTTGAACTGTTCTGATGTGTATGTATCACTATTTCAATTGTGGTTATTTTGAAGATTACAAAATTGGCAAAGAATAACTGATTTTATTAAATCATATTTCATTTGAAGTAACGTGGGTCTACTTTGCAGTATTTTTCCCTATTTACATGATTCATAAGAAGAGTGATCATGAGATAGTCAACAATATAACAGCTTGGAATGAGATTTTTGATCAGCTATAATTGTAATGTATTTTATCTAAATATTATTTAACTGTATTAGTAACTGTGATCATTAAGAACAGAAACAAAAGGTAAGCAAGTCCTTAGATTAACATGAAACAACATTCCTGCCTTTTGAAAGAAACTTTTCTGACCTGTGAGTAAATGATGTAAATCAATTAATAGCTTAACTGAAATTAAGAGATGAGTCTCAGCTTTCATTGCCTATATTATATCTGTGTTTCTGGAGAAACAAAAAAACAGTATGACAAACCTACAGTCTGCTAGTTTCTTCTCACCCTGCCAACAACTGTTATATTACTGTTTAGCTGGTTATGTGCAACCATTTGTTCAGGATTGTTTTGTTTTGCTTAGTTTTACTTTTTAAGGCAGAGTCTTGCTCTGTTGCCCAGGCTTGAGGTCTATGAGTTACACTCAGGGTCACATGGTCAACGAGATGTAATCACAGCTCACTGCAGCCTTAATCTCCTGGGCTCACGTGATCCCCCTGCCTCTGCTTCCTCAGTAGCTGGGACTACAGGTGCATGCCACGACACCCGGCTTGTTGAGCAGAGTTTTGATGAAAATCATTCTTCCCTTCTTAATCACAAACAGTGAAACCTTAGAAAATGTAATTAGAGAGAAAAATAACATTTTGCACCAAGCTAATTGTATCTTTACCTTTTATTAGTTGGTTTCAGGATTGGTACTTGTTGATGGTTCTGTTTTGGAGTGTGCGTTCCCTGGGTTTAACTCCTTGCAGCACACTTTATATACATTGTGTGGCCTTACTTGAGTAACTTAAGTTGCTTAACTTCTCCAGATCCCAGATTCTCAACCTGTAGAATGGAAGTAATTATAATACAAACATTATGTGGTGGGTTAGTCCAGGTCCTCCAAGAGGTAGATGTTGAAAACGAGTTAAACACAAGAGGATTTTATTAAGGGAAATCCCTGTGAGAGAAAATGGAGAGGAAGCTGAGTAAGCCTGGAAGAGGTCTCAGCTATGAGGCAAGTCTGACCTAGAATGAAGGAAAGAGGAAAGGAAGGTTGAGTGGAAGCATTGGAGCGTAATGTACAGTCTAAGGAAGGGTGAGAAAAGGCTTCAGGGAATCCTGAGCCAAGACTGGTCCTCAGAGAAGCCCTGTGTCTCCTAAAGAGGGATCTGCATTAGCCACCCTGTGGCCCTCAGTCATTGACTGAGGGGCAGATGCAGAAACAGATTTTAGAGTGAAGCAGCAAGTGGCCGTAGGCAGTTAGGCTTCCCATACTTTGAGGTCTATGAGTTTATTTATTTATTTATTATTTATTTATTTAAATTATACTTTAAGCTCTGGGTTACATGTGCAGAACTTGCAGTTTTGTTTCATAGGTATACACATGCCATGGTGGTTTGCTGCACCCATCAACCCGTCACCTACATTAGGTATTTCTCCTAATGTTATCCCTCCCCTACACCCCCACACCCCACAGGCCCCAGTGTGTGATGATCCCCTCCCTGTGTCCATGTGTTCTCATTGTTCAACTCCTGCTTTATGAGTGAGAACATGCGGCGTTTGGTTCTCTGATCTTGTGATAGTTTGCTGAGAATGATGGTTTCCAGCTTCATGCATGTCCCTGCAAAGGACATGAACTCATGTCCTTTTTTATGGCTGCATAGTATTCCATGGTATATATGTGCCACATTTTCTTAATCCAGTCTATCATTGATGGACATTTGGGTTGGTTCCAAGTCTTTGCTATTGTGAATAGTGCCACAATAAACATACGTGTGCATGTGTCTTTATCGTAGAATGACTTATAATCTTTTGAGTATATGCCCAGTAATGGGATTGCTGGGTCAAATGGTATTTCTAGTTCTAGATCCTTGAGGAATTCACACACTGTCTTCCACAATGGTTGAAGTAAATTACACTCCCACCAATAGTGTAAAAGCATTCCTATTTTTCCACAACCTCTCCAGCATCTGTTGTTTCCTGACTTTTTAAGGACTGCCATTCTAACTGGAGTGAGATGGTATCTCATTGTGGTTTAGATTTGCATTTCTCTAATGCAGGTCTATGAGTTTCTTATTCATGGTCACTAAAAGATGTTTATCATGAATTGAAATCTCCAGATAAGAGTAAAGCAATGCCTAATTCATAGTTACGCACTTATCAATTTATTTATTCATATTATTCATTATCGTTATGAATATTCAACACATTAATAAAAGAGTCACATGTGCAATCTACTTGGGGTATTGGGAGAGTAAAGAATAACATAGTGGTGCTACAGGTAATTTAAGAGATGGTTTCTCTCTCTCTCTCTCTCTCTCTCTCTGTGTGTATATATATATATATATATATATATATATATATATATATATATATATATATATGAGACACAGGTATAATTATTTTCCTTCTACTATTTGTTATTGATGTATACTGCCAAATCCCTAACGGATACTGGAATACTTAACTCTAAGCTCCCCCCACGCCTACAAAAGAAGTGGGTACAAGGTTATTTTTTAAATCAAAAGATTTATTAATAGTATTTTTATCATGTCCAATTGATATTATCATTATCAAAAAGTTTAATCACTTATTATTACTTGAAGGACCTCGTTAGGAAATATTCGATCCCCTTTTTTTGGTTTTTTTTTTTTTTTTTGAGACAGAGTCTCATTCTGTCACCCAGGCTGGAGTGCAGTGAGGTGATCTCGGCTCACTGCAAGCTCTGCCTCCCGGGTTCACGCCATTCTCCTGCCTCAGCCTCCCGAGTAGCTGGGACTACAGGCGCCCGCCACCACGCCCGGCTAATTTTTTGTATTTTTAGTAGAGACGGGGTTTCACCGTGTTAGCCAGGATGGTCTCCATCTCCTGACCTCGTGATCTGCCCGCCTCGGACTCCCAAAGTGCTGGGATTACGGGCGTGAGCCACCGCGCCTGGCCTGTTCCACTTCTTAAAACTGGTCACTGGAAGTACATCGTCTTGGGAAGAACTGGATATTTCTTGAAACCCCTTTCATATAGCCATATTCTCAAACATAGAACCTTCTTTTATTTTTTTCAAAGATTTTTTTCCATTACTGTAGAAAATTCAGAGGGTGTTTATGGATAGTGCAGTACTCCGCTCAAATACAGGGAACGAAAGTTACATTAAAATGATAATATTTTTTGCTGAAAAGTATTATGATATTTAATGTAAGCAAACAAATGACTCAGGTGATAGTGTTTTGTTTTCATTTTTTAAATGTCTTGGCCGGGCGCGGTGGCTCAAGCGTGTAATCCCAGCACTTTGGGAGGCCAAGGCGGGCGGATCATGAGGTCAGGAGATCGAGACCATCCTGGCTAACACAGTGAAACCCCGTCTCTACTAAAAATACAAAAATTAGCCGGGCGTACTGGCGGGAGCCTGTAGTCCCAGCTACTCGGGAGGCTAAGGCAGGAGAATGGCGTGAACCCGGGAGGCGGAGCTTGCAGTGAGCCGAGATTGCGCCACTGCACTCCAGCCTGGGCGACAGAGCCAGACTCCGTCTCAAAAAAATAAATAAATAAAAATAAATAAATAAATAAATGTCTTACTTCAATAGCTTTTGGAGCACAAGTGGTTTAGGTAACATGGATAATTTGTATAGTGGTGAAGTCTGAGATTTTATTGCACCTGTCACCTGAGTAGTGTACATTGTACCAAACATGTAGCTTTTTTATTCCACACCCACCTGCCAACTTCCCCCTTATGAATCTCCAGAGCCCATTATATCACTCAGTGGAGAGTCTTCAACATTCAGGGTGGAATCTTCAGGGTGTGGCCCTCTATCCATTGCTTTCCAACGTTTGTACTCTCTGCTTTGTGAATAGAGGCCTGTTCTCCCTGTCTGCCTTGTTCAAGTACCTTTGCCGTTTTCCTTGCTGGGATGACATCCTTTGCCCTGAAGTTCTCATTAACCATACCATAGATGTCCTCTTCTTACCTCAATACATCCAAGGCTACCTCAAGTTATAACTTCTCCTTTAGTTTTTCCCTAGTGTCTGAGTTCAAATGGGCTTCTCTATATCCAGAATATCTACCACCTGTCTTATCTTTCCTCACACGTGGCACGTGCAGTTCCTTCCATCTACTTTCATAATGTTGTATTTTAACGGTTCAGTTGTGTTTATATTACACTCTTCTGTCAGGCAAACAAGGGTATTTATATGGCTGAAATCTACGGTATTTTTTAAATGTAGTAAAATGTAATGAATAAGCATACAAATGAATGAGTTAATTAATCTGTTATATTCTTGGTTAAGTAATGAGCATTATGAGGACAAAAATTGAGTCTTACACCTTCTTATAATCCTAAAGACCTAGTACAGGACTTGGAATATAGCATTCACTTAAGACATCTTTGCGACTAATGAATTTAAATATTTTTATTAATTCTAAGTTGACGTATGATTGTAATTTGGGGAAGGTAGTGAAATTTCAAATGGCTTTCACCACCTGTGAAATGACCCTTTTTACCTACCACATGATTTACCAGATCTTTGTTTAGGTGAACCTAGGCGAAAGCAGATTGTTTCCTCTACTTAGGAAATACTTCGCACATTTTCGTTGCTTATAAATTTGATGATTTTAATTTGTACAGTTATAATTTATGATATTGACTTGTACAGTTATATATATTTTACATATAATAGATATTATATATTATATATAGATATACTATATATAATTTTATTTTCTAAAGTAAAGAATATCATTACACATTAACAAAATAGATATAACTGTTTTCTTTCTACTATTTGTTACTGGTGTATACTGCAAATCCCTAATGGATACTGAAATTCTTATCTCTAAGCCCCTCTATGACTATGAAAAGAAATGGGTTCAAGTTTATTTTAAAAATCAAAGAGTTTATTAATAACATTATTGTTATCATGTCCAATTGATACTATCATTATTAAAAAGTTTAATCACTTATTTCTTGAAGGACCTAATTAGGAAATATATATGTGTGTGTATATCTATATTCTATCTATATATATCCTATATCTATATTCCATATATATTCTATATCTATATTCTATATCTGTATTCTACATATATTCTATATATAGTCTATCTATATTCTATCTATATCCTATACATATTCTATCTATATCCTATATATAGTCTATCTATATTCTATCTATATCCTATATATAGTCTATCTATATTCTATCTATATCCTATATATAGTCTATATATATTCTATCGATATCCTGTATATAGTCTACATATTTTCTATCTATATCCTATATATAGTCTATATACTCTATATATCCTATATAGTCTATGTATATTCTATATATATCCTATATAGTCTATGTATATTCTATATATATCCTATATAGTCTATGTATATTCTATATATATCCTATATAGTCTATGTATATTCTATATATATCCTATATAGTCTATGTATATTCTATATATATCCTATATAGTCTATGTATATTCTATATATATCCTATATAGTCTATATATATTCTATATAGTCTATATATATTCTATATGTTTATCCTATATATATTCTCTATACATATTCTATATATATATAGACACACACACACACACACACATATATAGTAGCCTGATATTTAAAAAATAAGATTGGGACTGCATAAAATAAGCTCACCCAGACAATAGGGGTACAGACATATGTATAATTCAGCAAGAACTGGTAACAAAGTGAGATATGTCAACTCTTTGTAGCATATTGTTAAGTAGTATTAAAAAACAAGTAATTTTTGGTTGGGTCCATTGAGAGAATAACATTATTTTTAGAATGATCTAATGGCACAATAAGCATTTTAGCATTTTACCTGCAAAAGCATTATAGCTGTGCCAGTTTCTGTTCCAAGAAAAAAACACATTGGTGTATTCTCTAAAGGAGGAAATTCTGACCTCAACTATGTTCAGATAGCTGTGGCAGATAATACTCTGATCAGGTACTAAGTCATATATCTTTCACATTTCCCTTTGCTAGTTATACTCAGCATGTGGTTGGAAATGGAATCAAAGCCCAGTCTGGAAATCCTGAAGTCAAAGTCAAAGGAACTGATCCTGTGATAAATCAGATTATTGATAAACTGAAGCATGTTATTCAGGTAAGTCCTGATCCTATATTTTTTGGTATAGCCAATAATAAATAATAAGTGGTCACTTTCTGTTATACTTGATAAATTTGTTAACCCTATCAGATAATCCTGCCTAAAATATTGTAACACATTATTTGTATCAGGACTTTTGGGAATATTTAGTTTAATGATTTTTGTATGCAGTCAATATGCAGTGGTATTTTAATGTTGGACAATCTGTATATGTGAAAAGCAAGCCTCAGCCTCAGCATTTCAATAATGAGAATCTCAGGACATGCATTGTCTTCAGTGAATAAGTTTGAACGTGGGAATCACTGTGACCATTAAAGAAAACACATAGAAGACCATAGAAGATGCCAGAGTTTTCTTTCAGGTAATTCTCTGAATGTTGCTATGAAGGTTTTTGCAGCATTTCAATACAAATTAGGTCATAGATGAATAATATGTACTTCTAATATTTATTTCCTATATCACCTTTTATATGTTATCTTATAATCTACCTAATGGTTGTTTATGAAATACTTCTCTTTTATCTTCAATAATATTTTTCATCAAGTGAGTGTGTATTGCTGTTTTTAATACATGACAAATGAAGCATGAACATATTTATCAAAATAATATTTCATTGAAATAGTCTATTAATTAGAACCAAACATGATGTTGCATGTTGTAAATATTACTCTGCATTCTGCATCTATTGATGTTTGGGGAAAGAAAGGCTATTTTTTTTTTTTAGTTAATAGTCATTTTATAAAAATTTATATTTGAATATACTTTCATTTTTCCTAAGCAGAACTTTGCATGGCTAGCTGATGCTTATTTCTAGTATCGTGCATCAGAAACAATACCTAAATAGTACAGAGTTTTTATTGCATACAACATATTCCAGAGCCAGTAGTAGGCTTCTCATAATTGTTCTGCAAAGACAAAGCTTAAGTTTATGCAGAGCCAATTCCTGGGTTTCCATTTTTCACGAGTCCCTATCTCTCAAGGAGAGGATATGTAAGAAGGACTTGGGGGTTGGTGTCCAATACCGTAGACTTCTCCCTTCTGTGAGGCAACAATGCTTATTCTACCATTGATACCTATAGAAAACAGCTCTCACCCTGGCTGGCAAAACCAAAAATAAATTCTATTGGAAAAGTCTAAGAGAAAAGTGGTATCATGACTACTGATGAGTTAAACCTTCCAGCCTCTGCTGAGCTGGTCCAGTTGGTACCTCACAGTATCGTCCACTGTAGTATAATATGTACAGCTAGATTATTTGAAAATTCGACCGCATAATTGATAATAAAACCAAAAGAGCTTTAATATTAATGTTCTCTCATTGAGGAGTGAGTACAATCTCACTGTGAGGACACAGTGAAATCTTAGGGGTTTCTTAAGTGGGGTAAGCATTCCACAGAGGATGGAGGAAGAAAAACTAGAACTTAAATATATATTTATTCCATCTCATTCTTTTATATTTCTTTGGTTGTAGTAAGGTATATAAAATATGTAATATATTAGTGCAATAGCATATACATATAATTTATAAATACATAAATATACATATTAACTGGACATTTGTTCAGATTGTTTTTCTAAGATATATACATGATGAAAGCAGAACAGAGACCCTGTTACAGATAATAAGGATAGAGCTGTTCCATGAGAAGTGCCGTTATAAGAAAACACATTCACAGAGGAACACATAGATACCCAAGATAGAAAGGATTATAAAAACCCTTAGGAGGAGGGCTCATATATTTATTACCCATTCAGCAACCCCCCTCCCCATTTCTTGTTTCGTAGGTTTCAAAGCCTTTTCAAGGTGGCAGAGGGAAGTCATCCTGCCTTTCTTTTTTAGCTTCTGTGTGAACTTGAGTCCCATTCTTTATTCTTTATAGGAGTGTGCAGATCTCCAATTATTCATGCTTAAGTTTCATTCTGGGGTTGCAAGAGAATATAAAATGCAGTGCTACCTTTGAGGTCTATCATTTTAAGATCTGCTAGATTTATATGATAGAAATGTAGATTTTTATAGAGGACAGCGGAAAGTCATATCTTGCACAGGTGTCACTGAAAATTTACCTTTAATATCTAAGAATATGCTCTTTCATGAACTGCTCTCCTGGAGATGAAGAGAAGTGTTTTACTTTGCCAATTTTTTTTTTTTTTTTTTTTTTTTTTTTTTTTGAGACAGAGTTTCCCTCTTGTTGCCCAGGCTGGAGTGCAATGGCGCGATCTCGGCTCGCTGCAACCTCCGCCTCCTGGATTCAAGAGATTCTCCTGCCTCAGCCTCCAGAGCAGCTGGGATTACAGGCACGTGCCACCACAGCCCGGCTAATTTTTTTTGTATTTTTAGTAGAGACAGGGTTTCTCCATGTTGCTCAGGCTGGTCTCGAACTCCCGACCTCAGGTGATCCACCTGCCTCGGCCTCCCAAAGTGCCGATTACAGGCGTGAGCCACGGCGCCCGGCCTACTTTGCCAAACTTTTGACTACTGATGGTGTACGCGTGCCCTGGCAGGGATGGCCATTGTGCTGTCAGTATCAAGGGATGGCTAACAGCACCCACCACAATGTCAGCTATGAAAGGATTCAGAAAATAGCCTTCTGTAAGTCAGAATTTATTAATTAAGGAGTAGGGCCATGGAAGATGTCAACATAGGAATAGGTTTCAGATTCTAAACTGTAGATTTAGATGATCACTTCTTAGTGTTTGTATAAAATTTACTTTATTTTTTATTATAACATGAAGTTCGCTTTCCACCTTTATACTATGAAAAATGCCGTGTCTCACAATAGGGACATACCTGTGTTAAAGTATATGGAAGTAAATCAGCCACAATAGCAAACATTGCCTGCATGGACTCACCCAAAAATGCCTTTCTTGGCCTGCCATTGATCTGAACCTCATTTCTACCTTGCATTGTCTGCAATTAGAGTCACTAAGGAAGTAGATAAAGATTTTTACTTGGAAAATGTCACTTTTTAATGTTTTAATAATTAATTCGTTCAAGATACTCAACAAATGCTCACTGAGTTTCTAGTACGGTCCTGGTTCTGTACAGGCACTGAGGTTAAAGTTGTGAATAAAGCAGACACAACCCTGCTCTCATGGGCTTTCCATTGTAAGAAAAAAGTAAATAAACAAACCAATGAAACCAGTATTGTAGCTGACACATGTTATGCACAAAACCAAACAAGGTGAGGTAAGGAAAGATATTTAAGAAGAGTGTGCTGGTGAAGGCCACTCAGGGGCAGATGTTTGGGTTGATGCTGAATAAGGAGAAGAAAGGAGTCATGGGAAAACCTGTGAGAACTGTGTCTGGGGCAGAAGGCAAAGTAGGTGTAAAGGCCCTGTGGCAGGAATAAGTTTATTTTATTCAGAGAACAGAAGGCCAGGTGGCTAAAACAGAGTGAGTTAAAGGGAGGAGATAAACATACATCATGTTTTGGGGAGTCCAGTAGGCTCTGGTAAAGAGTTTATATTTTCTCCTAAATAGACTAAGAAGTCATTTTAAAACTGTAAGCAGAAACTAGCTGCGCGCAGTGGCTCATACCTGTAATCTCAGCACTTTGGGAGGCTGAGGTGGGTGGATCACCTTAAGTCAGGAGTTTGAGACCAGCCTGGCCAACATGGTGAAACCCCATCTCTTCTAAAAATACAAAAATTAGCTGAGCACGGTGGAGCGTGCCTGTAATGCCAGCTACTGAGGAGGCTGAGGAAGGAGAATCGCTTGAACCCAGGAGTCGGAGCCTGCAGTGAGCCAAGATCGCGCCACTGCACTCCAGCCTGGATGACAGAGCAAGACTCCTTCTCAAAATAAATAAATAAATAAAAATACATCACAAATTTAATAAATAAATAAATAACTGTAAGCAGAAGCTGATACAATTTAATACATGTTTTATGAGGACTTCACTATGAAAACTGGACCCTGCGTACAAGAATGGAAAAAAGAAAGTAACACAGACAGAAGGCCACATAATTGGAGCTAGAATAATAAGAGTGGATAAGCTGAGAAGTGCATAGATTTAGACAAATATTGGAAGCGGGGTTTTTAGGATTTGTTAATGGATTGGAAATTTGGGAGACGGAAGAAAGATGATAGCGAGGTTTGGTGGGATGATAGTGTCACTAAGTGAGAAAAGGAATTCTGAGAGAGGAGCAGGCCTGGCGGAGGGTCCCTGGGATTGATTAGAAATCAGTGGTTTTGTTAACTGTGAGATGCTTGTTAGATGCCCAAGAGGGATGTGCAGAACTCAGGGAGACCACACAACTGGAGGTGTATGTTTGTAAGCATCAGCACGTGGATAGTATTTAAGCCCTGAGATTGTATAAGGTTGTCACCTTTCCTTTAGAGTATAAATTCACACCAAAACTATTGGTGGAGATGATAGGACAAGGGAATCATACAAAAAAAATTGTACTGCAAAAAGCTATGAATGAATAAAACATTTCATTAAATGTATTTGGCACCTTGTATATACTTAGTTGATCTAGGACAGAGAAGATAGTAACATTCATTTTTTCTTACTGTAAGAATAATGACCCAGGAGGCGGAGGCTGCAGTGAGCTGAGATCAGGCCACTGCACACTAGCTCTAGCAGACAGAGTGAGACTCCGTCTCAAAAAAAAAAAAAAAAAAAGAATAATGAATGCTCATCAGAGGGAATTGAATTTTATTATTCTAGGAAATCTGATGGAAAAAGTGAAAAATAAATATTGATACCATTTATAAAACAATGAAAAGACTTATAAGAGAAGCCATCTAGGCTTTTCTCTATACTTAATTATACATATAAATACATCAGTACTTTACTTCAAAAAATAAGATCATAGGGTACATTTGATTTTATGATCTGAACTGCTCACCTGACCACACAAAACAAATACTTTACCATGACATTAAATAGTCTGCTCTCTGGTTGTTAGTGCTGGCATACTATTCTATCATATGGAAAAATTACAGTTTTCCTCCACCCAGTCACCGAAAGTTGGATATTTAGGATGCGACCAGTTTTTCATGATAATAAAGACTAATAGGAACAGCAGTAGACACAAGATGTTTTTGGCATCTTTTTTTTCTTGTAATACGTTCTACATATTGAAACTAATAATTGTATTTTGCTACATATTGCCACGTTTTTCTCAAGGAAAATTATAGCTAACAGAAAGTGTCAGCTTTCTCTGTGTGTTAAGGGTGTGGGTGGAAGCTCGGCAGTGACGCTGAGACATATTGGTATGGAACATCATTGGACTCTCTAGAGATCAAGGTAGCAGTCCTGTAGAAATGTTAGCCCGAGCTATGTGTCACCTGGGAGTACTCCAAGGACGGCCAAAAGAAATATTTTAGTTAGAAGACAATTTATAAGAAAAGTTTAGAGGCTTCCTAGAGAGGTCATAGCATACACAATTTTATTTCATCCTTTAGGGCAAGCCATATACATATGTTCTGCGCACATCTCCTCCTGCACCCTCCTCAAAAAAAAAAAAAAAAAAAAAAAAAAAAAAAAAAAAGCTGAGATCTGATGTAAATAGATAGCTGTGAATTATAGCTTGGTCCTTAAGGAATATCTCAGAAACTTCAATGTTCCTTCACCCCCTCCGCAAACCCTTCTGAATTGAGAATGGGAACCTTGGCAACAGAGGGGAGTCATGCACCTCCCTTTTCCATCTGTGACTCTGACATCTTCCTCCAGGTCAGCCATGGTGCAAACTCTCACAGTTACTTTCTGGCAGTTTCCTGCATTCCAAACCTGTTTCTGAAATGGGCAATATTTGTCCCCTTGAAAATCACCTGTGATAAATGTGGTATAGCCCATGGCCAGTGAAAATTTTCCTACACGGAGACATATTCCTAAGTGTTAACATTAACTTTTTCAGATGTTTGAGTCAGACTCAATTGCCCTTTCATATTATAGATTGAAAACAACACTTGGTTGATGTTAGTATATCTGATTGAGGAAATATGAGAGCCTTTTTAATTTAGATTTGCTCGCCTAGAAAACTCACTTTGAAACTTCTTGGTCATGTTATGTTTGCTTATGGCAAAGTTATCAGCAAAAAAGTCACTGTTATGCAGCAATTTATCTTTAAACACTAAATGACATCTATCATTTTTCAAAGAAAATAATGTCAGCAGTTAAAATCCTAACTGCTTGAGCACTGTTAGTTGACAATTATAATGCCCCATTGCTTAGAAATTAATTGACCTACTTTCAATAAGAAACATAAAAAGTAATATCACAGCAATTTTCTGGATCTATTTTATTCCAAAACCAATAAATGTTACAGTGTTGTTAAAAGTAATAGATTTAAAAACATTTTATTTTCTTAAACTTAACAATTCAAATAACATAAAATAATATTACGTTTCTATTAAGTATTCATTTTTATACAGACCAAAAGTTCTTTAGAAAATGTCTTCATGTATAATATAAATTTGATTTTTAGATGTGAGAAAAGCAACAATCATAATCGTTGCCTAAATCCACAAAATAAGTAGATATTCTATAATATGTATTTCAGTAATCACAATGTATTGGATTCAGGCAGAGATGAGAGACACTCTGATTTTAGCAGAAAAAGACTGTGTTAAATTACCTCTTTGCCTTTTCTCACTCTGTTCCTAGGATAGCAATATAATAAATAGTAACTTTAGAACGGGGATACACTGAGAAAATGTTCTAATTTAAATCTCAATAGATGATTACACAGGTAGTGTTTACACACACACACACACACACACACAATGACAGGAGTTTTTAAAGATATTAGTATCTCGGAATTTTTGAATTCTGAAAACTGTCCAAGCTTTTATCATTAAATCACTTGTTATGAAACCCATTTTAGAAACACGCTTTCCTATTTTTAATAGCCTATGATAGTCATACAGAATGAGTTAATCAAAATTGATTGGTCAATTGCTAATTGCAAATTCTTTGACCGTAGCATGTCAGCTGATTCTATGAACTTCTACAGACTCTTTCCCTTGGTCCGGGAATTGCCACAACACTCTGACTCCTTTCCCCACAACTCCCTTACATGATATTGTCACCTCCCCAGGCTTACGATACTAATATTCCAGAGAGACGAACAGTCCTTGATTTTGAATAGCAATGCAGTAGTGACCAAAACAGATTTAGTTTTGGTTCAGAAGAAAGTGCTGGATATGCCCTCAGTAACTTTCCATGGTCATCTAATTCAGCAATTAGTTTGAGTAAATTCAATGGAAGGCTGCTTTCTGGAATGGGTAGTGTAATGTACTGACTTCCCTATTAGACATTTCATTTAAAAAAATCAATTGTCCGCATAAAACAACCATTTCAATCAGTGTACATTCAACTGGAAAGGAAAGTTAGAGGACTTTTTTTGAAAGTAATGGGATTGGGGTTGGCCGTTGCTAATTTCTTTTTGATTAACGCGTATGTAATTGTTTTGTGTTGGATAAAAATTTGACTTTTTATTTGCGCGGATGCTGCTGATCTTATATGTTATCATTTCCCATTCAGACTTGAGCTGTTTACCTGCCGGGTTTTCTGTTCATAAAATGTTGAAAGGACGTTAAAATGTAGAACTTTTACATTTTTTATTTAGGTGACTAGGACAAATTCTGGTAATTTGTAGGCTACAACTTAAATGTATTTCTGCTTAAAATATTTTGAAACATGGTTTATTTCACAAATGAGGTTCCAAACTATAACCAGCTCTCACTAAATTCTTATTTATTTATTTATTTTGAGACGGAGTCTTTCTCTGTCACCCAGGCTGGAGTGCAGTGGCCGGATCTCGGCTCACCGCAAGCTCCGCCTCCCGGGTTCACGCCATCCTCCTGCCCCAGCCTCCTGAGTAGCTGGGACTACAGGCGCCCGCCACCACGCCCAGCTCATTTTTTGTATTTTTAGTAGAGACGGGGTTTCCCCGTGTTAGCCAGGATGGTCTGGATCTCCTGACCTCGTGATCCGCCCGCCTCGGCCTCCCAAAGTGCTGGGATTACAGGCGTGAGCCACCGCGCCCAGCCAAAAGATCATTTTTAAATTATGTATCTGGGAATATATTATCAAACCAGGCCTGAAACTTATTAAAAAGATGGTAAAATCTAATTTAACTTCATTTAATACTCCTTTTCTCTTAGTCTTATAAAAGCAAATGAGCTTGTTGGCTTTTAATTATGAAAATATAATTTTAATTTATAAGACATATGTAACAAAGCAAGATAGCTGCTAAATTCACTCTATCCTAGTAACTTCCTATTGCATACATTCATTTTTAATGTAATAAGAAAATCCTTTCAAAATTTTTAAAAGAATCACATTACCCAAGAAGAGGCTCAACATTTCTAGAAAATAAATATGTTCTTAAGACACTTAATAATTCTTGAAATGAAGACCTAATTCTTCAGGGCTTTAAAATATTTGATGTGCACTCTTTACATATATAGAGAGTTTAAATTTAATAATTTCCCTTCTTAAAAAATAAGTGAAACATACCACAAACATATCAAAGCAAGTTATTCATACTTCTCATTTAAGTAACTGTATTGTCATAGCAAAATTATTTTATATCATCAAAAAGCACAAAAGCCTTATTAGAATACTAATTTCAATGTCTGTTTCACAGATTTGCTCAGAATAGATTTTTTCATGCTTCTGCACTAATTCATTGAAGGACAATGTTTTACCGATTCCTGAAAAAATATCATTATCTGCCCCATAGTGGTGGCTCATGCCTGTAATCCTAACACTTTGGGAGGCTGAGGCTGGCAGATTGCTTGAGCCCAGGAGTTCAAGACCAGCCTGGGCAACATGGTGAAAACTCATCTCTACCAAAAAAAAAAAAAAAAAAAGGAAAAAGTTAGCCGGGCAAGGTGGCGGGCACCTGTAGTCCTAGCAACTGAGGAGGCTGAGGTAGGAGGATCACCTGGGCCTGGGAGGTTGAGGTTGTGGTGAGCCATGATTATGCCACTGCATTCCAGCAGTGGGTGACATAGTGAGATCTTGTATCAATAATAATAAGATAAAATAGAAAATAAAAATATCATTAACTGACATTTTAAAAAGTATATTTCCCAATGTATAAATATACTTTGTGGATTAACAAGAGAAAAATTTCAAGATACTGTAAATTTAAAACAAATCTTTATGTATAATACCATCGTAATGTCTTTGACCAGCAGCAATCTATCATGTGAGATAAAAAATATTAAATATGCATTTATTGCATAAATGAATGAAAATCATGATTACCTTGATCACTATATTTAAAATTTAAATGAAGCAGGAAAGTAAATCTTCCTAATTATCATATACTTAACTGTTTAAAATCACTCTAATAACAAGTAATATGTTAATTTTGAATTATAATTTTAAAATGCCTGTATTGTTTCATTCACTCATCCTTCCATTAGTTCAGTGAACAAATATTGATTACTTACCCACTATGTGCCAGGTATCATCATAGATTCAGGGAGTACAAAAATGATTAAACGAAGGGATCAGCTGGAGTGACCGTTTTCTAGAAACAATGCCTATTTCAGTTATGAACTAGTCTGTTTTGAAGAAAGTGGTGAGGGAAAGCTGAAAATCCTATTTTCACTTTATTCAACAAATCTTATTGAGGTCTTATTATGAATCAGGGGCTCTCCTAGGTATGGGCATACAAAATTGATTAAGACTGTGCTTGCTTGCAGAAAACAAACAAAAAAGCATCTCTATAATAAAAAGGAAAAAGAGGAAATTCCCTTTGTAGGTTTCATAGTTTATAGTGATACTGCTGATGTTGTCTCAGAGAATTAGTCACAATTATAGGAACTCAGAAGGCATTCCGTTGAGATGAAATAGAGACTAAATTAGCAGAGATTACTTAGTGAAATAACAATTCGAACATAGTTATAATTCATTTTAGAAGATATTATGGCTCACACATAGTAGATGTGATGACTGAATAACAGGAATGTGGAACGATGGCACCTTGGTAGCCATTACCCATTGCCAACATGATTCTGCATTAAAAAATCTGTGCAAAACGGCCGGGCACGGTGGCTCACGCCTGTAATCCTAGCACTTTGGGAGGCCGAGGAGGGCAGATCACGAGGTCGGGAGATGGAGACCATCCTGGCTAACACGGTGAAACCCCGTAACTACTAAAAATACAAAAAATTAGCTGGGCATGGTGGCACGCGCCTGTAGTCCCAGCTACTCGGGAGGCTGAGGCAGGAGAATCGCTTGAACCTGGGAGGTGGAGGTTGCAGTAAGCTGAGATCGCGCCACTGCACTCCAGCCTGGGCGACAGAGTGAGACTCCATTTCAAAAAAAAAAAAAAAAAAAAAGAACACAACTTTGGAGTATATTAATAAACATTGTGTTTTTTTTAAAAAAAATTTTTAATCTTTAATTTCCGTTTTCACATATTTCTTCTTGCTTCCAAAAGGAAAGGAGTGGGTAGCTCTGTTGTACACCGTCCACGGCCCCTGGATCCGGGCGGGGTCCCCCGGGCCACCTGGGGGTCCACATGCAGCCCCCAGGAGGCCGGTGCGGGGTGAGGTCCGGGGGCCGCCTTATTGCTGAGGTCCGGCCGGTTGGGGCCCCGGCGGCCGCTAGGCGCTCTGGCTGCGCAGCTCCTGGGAGATGAAGCGGCGCAGGCGCTCCAGGTACTGGCTGTAGAGCTGGATGTCTTTGTGCCCGGCGCCCTCCACCCACAGCGGCTCCACAGCCTTGGGGCAGCGCTCCTAGAGCGCCAGCCCCTGCGAGAAGTCGATCACCTCGTCTTTCGTGCCGTGGATGATGAGCACGGGCGACGTGATCTTGGACACCTTCTGGATTCTGCGGGAGGGGCGTGGGGCGGGTGAGAACTCTCCGGGCCCGGGCCCCGCCCCGCCCCGCCCCCGTCCCCGACCCAGTCCCCGTCCCCGCCCCTGTCCCTGCCCCAGCCTGCTCACTTGGGGAAGGCGTCGAAGCAGTAGGTCTTCTTGGTGTCGGGAAGGCGACGCTCAGGTCCAAGGTGAGCGGCGAGTGCAGCACCACCGCGGCGGACTCGTAGCGCGAGGCCAGGTCCACGGTGGGCACTGTGCCGATGCTCTGCCGGTACAGGATGATGCTGTCCGGGCTGATGCGGTACCTGGCGGCACCGGAGCAGGGTCAGCCGCGGCCTCCGACTCGCGCGCACCCCTCCCGCCAGCGGGCGTCCCCGGGCCCAGCTCCAGATGCGACTCTCCAGTCTCCCGGCTCAGCCTAGTCAGTGGGTCAGGCCCAGGCTCCACAGCAGTCCCAAGGGCCACCCCCAGTCCCCCAAGACCGCAGCGGTGGGCGGAGCCGGCGGCCTGGTCCTGTTCCCTGGCGCTATGGTTCACTGGCGTTTCCTAGCCAGGATCTGCTGGATCCTGGCTAGGGAGTCCCCCTCGGGCTAGGGTAGGGGAAGCCCTGGCGCCTCTCCTTCTCTTGGTCATCCCTGGGCGCACACTGGGAACTGTGTGCCCCCCCACATCCTGAATGCTTCACGCCTTCCTGCCC
This sequence comes from Homo sapiens, assembly GCF_000001405.40. Classification (NCBI taxonomy): domain Eukaryota; kingdom Metazoa; phylum Chordata; class Mammalia; order Primates; family Hominidae; genus Homo; species Homo sapiens. Next base: position 196,293 of record NT_187659.1, read on the forward strand.
AGGTTAGAAAGCCGTTCCTGGTGCACTGGCCGGAACAGGGTACACTCTTCCTCCCTGCAGCCCTTGCCCACCCCCTTGGCCATGAGGAATTC